>NC_000002.12:149307799-149610830 GCF_000001405.40 Homo sapiens | reverse complement strand
TATCAAGTCTTCTTTCCTACTAGTTAGTAGGAGAATAAATAAGTAAAAATGATTTAGTGCTTGCTTTGGCAACACATATTCTAAAATTGGAACAATACAGAGAAGATCAGCATGTCCATGTGCAAGAATGACATGCAAATCTGTGAACACGCTATACATTTTTTTACTATCCATGTATCTTATAAAATCATGTTGTATACCTTAAATATACACAACAGAATTTATTTTTTAAGTGATTTATCAAACACAACTCCCACCGTTTCCTCCAGTGATTCCTATGAGACAGAACCCCAAATCAAATGTTCAGAACACTTTTCAAAATCAGCAAGCAATCCTGTCTTCCTGCCTCCACTCTGTATGTCTGCCAATGGACAATGTAAAATGATTTTATCATTTCTTCTTTTGTGGGCTAGGATGCAGCAACTTCTTCAGATGGCCCCCTAAACAGTAACTCAGAGTTGATAGCTTTTCAATTTTAAGTCAAAAGTCATTTCAACAGTGTTATTTATAAGTTTAAGATATTGTTAAATCTTTTGAAAACAATCTTATATCAATTTTGTCAGAAGTTTCATCAGACCACTTTAACAAATTACATTCACACATTCCCTTAGCATTCACACTGATGAAGACAAAAGAAAACAGGAACATCAAGGTAAAGTAGATTTCACTGAATGTAGGAGAAATCATTAACATGGAAGAAAGCAAATGGAATGAATTCCTTATACATACGTTTTCTGAGTACTTAGGTACAGGCTCTGTGCTGTTTACTTACAATACACGAGTTCAAAAATGATAGTTCCTGCTTAAGAAAGGAGCTCACACCTGTGAACTGAGAATTGCACTTTATAAAAGTATCATTTCTTTGTCAGTAACTGATCTGTCTTGTAAAATAGCATGAAATACAGCTAAAAATAAAGGGGAAAAAACCATACTCACCTCTAATTCTGGCATACAGTCAACTATCATTAACATATTGGTATATATTATTCCAGACTCATCTCTATGCATGCAAATAATATGAATATTTGTACATATTTATATTTTTACATAAATTGGAGCATGTTATTCCAATTGTTTTATATTAGCAATATTTTATGAACATTTTTCCATATTAACATACATTCTACCTAATCTTTATACTATATCTTATTGTATGGAGTGTGTATATGTCTTATTGCTAGTAATCTAGATACTGTCCAATGTACTTGAATTATAAATAATATTGCAATGTTATTTGTAGAAGTGCAAAACTATATGTGCAAGGTTACATTGCACCAAGAGCAGAAGTATATATGCAAGGTTACTATATGTGTGAAACTGTGCATAGTTTTACACTTGTAAAAATATTTTTATATAAGTTGCTTATAAATAGTTAGAACCCTAGATCTCCTCCCCATTCCTGTTGCTGGGAAATTGACCCATCACCTCTCAGAAAGGAAACTGGGAATTTATTCTCTGGAAGAGGGTAACAGATAAAGTCCTTGGACTGGGGACTGACTGGGCATAGTTGAATGTGTGGTACCAGACCTGATACAGGAGACTTAAGTAACAACAATCATACTAGAGATGGAATAATGAGGCCCCTAACTTCTTCCCCCACAAAGCTTCCAGAATACTGGCAGCCAGACCTTTACCCTCCTGGAAAGAGAATGGAGGAATATTCACTGCAGAACTTGACCAACCCAAGAAAAAAGACTTACATATACTGGCATCAGCATTTCACCAAAAAAAAGCCCACTCAAATCACCCTACAATTGAGCTCAATACTCACAAGCCCCCCAAATAGGACACCAATATTAATCAAGAACCAGCAACCAAGGATTACCAGATAGCTGAAGAAATATGGTACCATGGGAGATGTGACCAAAAAGAGAGTAGAGGAGGGAGATTTTTAAAAGGGAAAAAAATTTTCTGCAGAGAGTCATATTAAAATACCCTCAGAGAATACCCTCAGAGAAAATAAGAGAAAAACAAAAACAGGATACTACCAAATAGGAATATTCTGAAAGGAAAACAGAATTTTTGAAACTTAAAAGTGATTACATAATCAAAATTTCATATATTAAGTCAATTCCATGTGGAAAAAGCATTCTTTTCTATAAATGGTGCTAACTGGATATCCTCATGCAAAAGAATAAAGTTTGATCCCTATCTCACACCATACACAAAAATTAACTCAAAATGGATCAGACACTGAAATGTAAGAGCAAAAACTATAAAACCCTCAGAAGAAAACATAGCAGCAAATCTTTATGACCGTAGATAATGGTTTCTTTTTTAAAAATTGATATATCATACTTGTACACATTTTGAGGGTACATATGGTATTTTGATAGATGTATACAATGTGTAATGATCAAATCAGGGTAATTGGGACATCCATTACCTCAAATATTTATCTTTTCTTTGTGTTTGGAACATTTTAATTCTTCTCTTCTAGCTTTTTCGAAATATACAATAAATTATTAATAGCTATAATTTCCCTACTACTCTATTGATTTTTATAACTCATTCCTTCTGCCCAACTGTATTTTTGTAGCCATTAACAAACTTCCCTTCATCCTCCTCCTCTTCTCATCCCAGATTCTGATAACCATCATTCTACTCTCTATCTCCATGAGCTCCACTTTTGTAGCTCCCACCCCTTGTGTTAGTGTGCCCTGGACATGGGACATGGGACATGGTGTCAAAAGAGATTATTTTGGAGCTTTACAATTTAACGGGTGTGCTCCTGGGTTTCAGAGTTGCTTGAGGCCTGTAGCCCCTCTCTTTTGGCTGATTTCTCCCTTTTGGAGCAGGAATGATAACCCAATGCCTGTACCCCCATTGTATCTTGGAAGCAAATAACTTGTTCTGATTTCTCAGGCTCATAGGTGGAAGCAAATGAGTCTCAGATGAGACTTTGAACCTGGACTTGGGACTTTTGAGTTGATGCTGGAATTAGTTAAGACTCTGGAGAACTATTGGGAAGGTATAATTGTATTTTGCAATTAGAGAAGGACATGAGATTTAGGACCAGAAGGACATGAGATTTAGGACCAGAAGCAGGACGATATAGTTTGAGTATTTGTCCCCACCTGTATTAGCCTGTTTTCATGCTGCTAATAAAGACACACCTGAGACTAGGAAGAAAAAGAGGTTTAATTGAACCTACAGTTCCACATGTCTAGGGAGGCCGCAGAATTATAGCAGGAGGTGAAAAGCACTTCTTATATAGCAGTGGCAAGAGAAAATGAGAAGGAGCAAAAGCTGAAACTCCTGATAAACCAATCAGATCTCATGAGACTTATTAACTATAACAAGAATAGCATGGGAAAGACTGGCCCCCATGATTCAATTACCTCCTCCTGGATCCGTCCCACAGTACTTGGGAATTCTGAGAGATACAATTCAAGTTGAAATTTGGAGGGGGACACAGCCAAACCATACCATTACCCAAGTCTCATGTTGAAATATAATCCCCATGATGGAGGTGGGGCCTGGTGGGTGGTGATTGGATCATGGGAGTGGATCCCCAAAGGCTTGGTGCTATCCTCACAATAGTGAGTGAGTTCCCATGAGATCTGTTCATTTAAAAGTGTGTGACACCTCACCCCACCCCTCTTGCTCCTGCTTTTGCTATGTGACGTGCCTGCTTCCACTTTGCCTTCTACCATGAGTAAAAGCTCCTTGAGGCCTCCCCAGAAGCTAAGCAGGGGCCAGCACCACACTTCCTATACAGCCTGCAGAACCATAAGCCAATTAAACTTCTTTTCTTTATAAATTACCCAGTCTCAGGTATTTCTTTATATCAATGCAAGATTGACCTAATACAGCAATAAAACAAATAACCTGATTTTAATATGGGCAAATGGTCTGAACAGATATTTTTCAAAAGAAGTCATGCAACTGGACAGTAAATACATGAAAAAATGCTTAGTATCACTAATCATTAGAAAAATGCAAATTAAGACTGCAATGAGATATTACCTCATACCTGTTAGAATAGCTTTTATCCAAAAGATGAAAGATAAGTGTTGGCAAGGATGTGCAAAAAGAGAACTCTTATACATTGCTGTTGAGAATGTAAATTAGTAGAGGCATTATTAAAAAAACAGTATGGATGTTCCTCAAAAAAACTAAAACTAGAACTACCATATACTCCAGCAACCTCACTTCCTGGGTATATAGTCAAAGGAATTGAAATCAACATGTTGAAGGGATCTCTGCACTCCCACATTCATTCCAGCATTACTCACAATAGACAAGAGATGAAATCAAGTATCCATTATGAATGAATAGGTAAACAAAATGTGGTATGCATACACAATGAAATACCATTCAGCCTTTTTTTAAAAAGGAAATGCTATCACTTGTGACAACAGAGATGAACCTGGAGGACATTATGCTAAGTGAAATAAGTCAGATACAGAAAGACATGTGGATATGTGGAACCTAAAAAAGTGGAACTCTTAGAAGTAGAGAGTAGAATGATGGTTACCACAGATTGGGAGATTGAGAGAAGGAAGGGAATGTGGAGTTGCTGGTCAAAGGGTACAAAGTTTCAGACAGACAGGAGAAATAAGTGTTGAGATCTATTGCACAGCAGGTGACTACAGTTAATAAAAATGTATTGCATATTTCAAAATGACAGAGTAAATTTCAAATATCTCACTGTAAAAAACAATAGATAAGTAAGGTGATGGCTAGGTCAATTAACTTGGTTTAGTCATTTCACATTGAATACATATATCAAAACATTACATCATAGCCCACAAATGTATATAATTATGATTTTTCAAGTAAAAAAAATTTAAAAATAAAAATATATTTTTGAAGAAAAATAAATAGAAGTAGATAGTAATGATGATTGTACAACAAACATTGAATTATACAACTTAAAATGGTGAATTTCATGGTATGTGAATTATAGCTCAATAAAGTTTCTATTAAAAAAAATAAAATCACCTACAGGGTTAATAAGAAAAGAGAAGGAGGTCTAGGATTAAATTCTTGGCACATTATTAAATTCCCCGTTATCCAGAAGTTCAGCAGAGGAAGAGAAGCCAGCAAAAGACACTGAGCATGACCAACCAGTAAAGCAGAAGAAACAACCAGAAGACTGTGGTGTCATTGAGGCTGAAGAAGAAAGTGTGTCAAAAGAGGTATGCAGTGGTCACCGCTGTCAAATGCTGCAGAACAACCGAGTAAGAGGAGATAATAAATTGACTGCTGGATTTGACAAGTAATGCCAATAGCAGAATAATATACTTAACTTGCCTTTATGATCATTATAAATCTACTTTGTTATTTCAAATTACCAACAATTATCAAAAAGCATAGCAAAAAATAATGTTTATAATATTTGTCACCTTTTTAAAATTTGTAATTTGTGGGAATTTCTTAGCCTAAATAGATATTCGTTTCATACCTAAACAAAACAAAACAAAACCTTAATAGAAGGGCTGGAATAAAAAATTGAGCACATATTCCAAAAATAAGACAAAAAGTCAAAATATGGAAAACAGGAAAGAAAAACATTAGAAGAACAATACAACTCCTATCTGAATAATAGGAGTTCAGAGACAAATACAAATGGAGAGAAGAAAATCATCAAAGAAAGAATCCATGAAAATATTATAGAGTTGAAGGACATGAGTTTCCATATTGAAAGGATCCAGTGAGTACTAAGCATAATGAAGGAAATTAGGCCCACACCAAATGCCATCACTATGAAATTGTAAAACACTTGGTCAGGGGGAGGGTGAGTAGGAACTAGACAATCCAGTAAGAGTCCAGACAGGCCAGGCATGGTGGCTCACACCTGTAATCCCAGCACTTTGGGAGGCCAAGATGGGAAGACTGCTTGAGCCCAGCAGTTTGAGACCAGTTTGGGGCAACAAAGGAAGAACTCATCTCTAAAAAAATTATTAATAATAATTAAAATAATAAAATTTAAGAGTCCAGAAACAAGTTTAAAGGGAAGGAATTTCAAACAAAGTTTCAAGAATCACAATGGCAGAGATTTCTCTAATTCCAATCTGAAATCAGAGAACAATAGAAATATGCTTTCAAAATTTTTATGGAAAATTATTTGCAACCTAGAATTCTATATGCAGTAAAAATTAAAATCATATGTGAAGGTAGAATACGGACATTTTCAGAAGTACATAAATGTCAAAAATTTTACTTCTTATGCAAGTCTTCTCAAGAAGCTAGTGGAGAGTGTGCTTCTCCAACACAAGAGTAAGAAGAAGGAAGATATGAAATTTGGGAAACAAGAATATGATATAGGAAAGAGAAGACTCATGAATAAAGATCCCACAACTGCACAGCAGACCTAGAAAACAATTAATCTAAGTTTGGAGCAGGTCAAAAGTCTCAGGAGAGATTTCTTCAAGACAGTGAAGGTGACAAAATACCTAATGTGTCCAAAAGTTTTGAGAAGATGTTTCCACAATTGAGAGAGTTTGGTCGAAGAAAATGATATGATTATAGAAAACTAAAGGAAGAAATGACAGTAAAACCAGGCCCTCCTTAACTTTAAGGAGAACAAAATATTGTCAAGAGAAAAAAAGATCATGGTATGCTACCTAGCTCATTCATGAGCAATTACATAGTCATAGAAACATAAACCCTGATTACTGGTCTAATCAAATTGTCATATAGCTATCTTGGGAGGTGGGTGGGTTCTGAAGTGGACTAAACATGATAGAAGAAAGAAGCTGAAAAGAGTTAAATCCTCATCCTCCAGAGCAGTAAGTTAAAACACAATGCTCAAAATATTTTCCAGCTAAATGTCTCTTTCAATTGACTTTGTAAATGCTCACACTTTCCCTTTACTTCTATTGTCTATAACATATGGTAAATCAATTAGTTAATTGTTGATTTGAAGATAGGTAATAAATTGAAAGTCAGGAAATATAAAAATATTTAACCTTAATTTTATGTAAGAGTTTCCTCAGAAGTAGTTTTGGAATGAAAAAAATAGTTTGAAAGTATATATTAAAATTTAGAATTTTTTTTGCAACTCAGCTAATGGTATTATCTTCACAGAAAAACTATTCTCTAATAAAATATACAGTATAACAGAATGTAAGCTTTGAATATAATTGAAAAGAACAAATTATTTGCTTAAAATATGCAGAATTGTCCCATAAATCCACAGGAATTGGCCATCTGGTTTGTCTCCGTTACGTATCTATTGACTCAAATTATGTCATCTGACTATTCTTGGGGGCGGTCAAGTAAAGTAAATAGAGGGAAACAAGTCAGTATAAAAAACATTGAAAATCTCACTGTTCTTTTCATTCATGAGCATTATTTGACATACTATAATGTCGTCATGTTTACCTATGTGCAAGCCTAGAATCGAGCACTAAATCATTAGGACCAGTTCAGGATAGGACTACAGCGTTTCAGCCTTTATGATGGAATTTGAAGTGTGATGACCATTTGAGTCATTTCTGTTTCTACATCCTTGAATCCTTTGGAAATTCTTAACTGTTATCTTTCACTGTCCCATAGCTTTCCATTTTTCCCCCCAGCAAATGAAAAGTCTGCAGAAATTTGAAAGAAAGAGAAGATACAAGCCTAATCAAAGGAAGATTGATTACTTTCCTGATATTCTGTAAATCTTGACATTCTATAAAAGGAATGATAGCATCTTAAGGAGCTAAAAAGCTTTCCTTATTCATTCATTTTTAATATAAACCTGTAATTGGATCATTTGGTTTTAACAGGTTATTTGATTTAGAGAACCATACTCATTATAATTGCTATTTATAAATTCATGTCAAAGAGAAATGTATTAAGAATTGTGGTTAAATTTGAAATTGGCCAATATAAGAAATTTTTTCTATTAATCCTGAGATATATTTCTTCATAACAGTTTTTAAATAATTTAACGCTACGTTATTGCAACTGGAAATTTTAACCATTTTTAAAAGATAGTTAAAACTGCCATAAAACAGAAAAATCTCCCCAATATATTATTCCATGCCACAATGGGAAACCATAGCGCAGCCTGAAAAGGCAATTAATTTACATATTATTGCCTAGAAAAGTATCTCTAAGTGCACAATAATAGAGAGCAATTTTATTTGAAAACTCAAAACACCTTAAAAGATCAATAAAATGTTAAAATTATAATCCCTTATAGATATTGAAGCTACACACATATTCCTGTGTGTACCTTTATATCATTTCTGAATATTATTATTCTGCTCATAAAAATGCTGTACTTTTTCTAAGGGAGATTATATACTAAATTCTTCATGGAATCTTTGGGAATTTGTGCCCACACTAAAGCAATATACCAAAGCAGAATTCTAAAAGAAGCTGTTTTTAAACAAAAATGAATTGAAAGGCAATAATGTATTTATCTATTAGGAAGTTAAATATATAATCTCTTAATTTGAAGTCAGAAGATTAAAATTGCCTTTTCATTTACCTATACCACTACCCAAACCATTAAGGCAGTTGGCTTATGATTTCTACTTTGGCCTTTCTGGTCAACTGTCTGCCAGAAAGCAATGTAATTACCTCTTTGAACTTTACTGCATCAGAAATAATGAGAACAATACTTTCTAAAATTCTATGACTTTACAGAGTATCTAGAAGACTCTGTATTTCATTATGTTGCTTCAACATAGTTGATTCAAAGTTCAAATAGCTTTCTAATTCTGCAGCTCTTTGTGACTGTTTTATTTATCATTACCTGGGAATTACTGGAGTATTCATATATGCACTGATCTTATCATTAATTTAATGGATATTCTCTTTTATCACAAACTCTGGAGTATTCTATTAGTCTTTAGGAATAGGATGTCAGGAAGTAAGAAACTGGCTCCATCTCCATGGACACTATCGTTTCAAGTCAAAATAGAGTCAAAAGGAACCCCATCACATGCTGTAAGCAACTAGAAAAACTCAGACAAAACATAGGAAACACTGGTTTAGAGGCATTTGAAAAGAGGCATTATAAGACTGTGATCCCTGAGAGAAAGAAACCAGATGATGAGATGTTAACCTGCACCATCTTACTTCCTGTAGGCAGTTTCCAGGCAACAGCACAGAGTTAGGCAGTCTTTTTAAGCTGAAGAAAGAGAGATTAGAATTCAGGGATATTACAAAAGGTGGAGTTCGTGGGGCATGGTAGCACAGATGAAGGAGCTGCACAAAAAAGGAACTCTGGAGATCTGCAGTGGGGTCTGGAGGAGGCTTTGCCTAAGTACTGATCTGTGCATGCATGAGAGGAAATGACTCATGCTTGGGAAAAAAACACAAGAAAGGAGTACTCAGAAATATTCTTGCAGCTCACAGAGCGCTAGGAATTGTTCATGTTCCCACCAGCCAAGATGAAACAATAACAACAACAACAACAAAATTTTAAAAACCAAAAACGAAATATATAAGGTATCAAGTAAAAGCTTGAGAATGGTATTAGATTCCAAAGCACTATATAATTAAATGGCCAAAAACTAATGATAAAAAGAAAATCTTAAGATCAGCCATAAAAATAAGACACATTGTGACACACTGCAAACAAAGCAATAAAGAGAAGAATGACAGCAGACTTCCATCATAAACTATGCAAGCCAGATGTATTGAGAGGGGGAAATATTGTCTACCTACATTTCTTTATCAAGAAAAATATATTTCCAATGTGAAGAATGAATGTACATTTCTGGAAGAACAAAATGAAGAGAATTCATCACCAAAAGAATTCCACTCCAACAACGCTAAAGGAAGTTCTTTAGGCAGAGCTAAAATAACACCAGGTGGAAAATTAAATCTACACAAAGGATTAAAGAAAGCCAGAAATGGTAAGTTTGTAGAGGAATGTAAAAAAACAATTTTCTCATTTTACAAAATATCATCAAAATAGAATCGACTGTTTAAAGCAAAAATGAGAGCAGTGTAGTATGGGATTCACAGCAAACATGGAAGTAAAATACATGAGAACAGCAGCCATCAGGATAAAGAGATGGAAGCACCCTGTTGTGAGGTTCTTATACTGCATGTGAAGAGGTATAAGGTAGATTGGGATAAGTTTTTTCTAATGAAAATTATTTGTATTTTTTTTTACCTCAATATGTGACTTTTTAAAAAAATTTTAGTTTTGGGGTACACGTGCAGGTTTGTTACACAGGTAAATTGCATGTCACAGGGTTTGGTGTACAGATTATTTCATCATCCAGGTAATAAGCATAATACCTGATAGGCAGTTTTTGGATCTTCACTCTCCTCCCATCCTCCACCCTCAAATAGACCCTGGTGTCTGTTGTTCCCTTATCTGCGTCCATACCCAATGTTTAACTCCTACTTATAAGTGAGAACATGCAGTATTTGGTTTTCTGTTCGGGCAACAGCCTACAGCTTCATTCATGCTGCTACAAAGGACATGATCTTGTACTTTTTTATGGCTGCATAGTATTCGATGGTGTATATGTACCACATTTTCTTTATCTAGTCTACCATTGACGGGCATTTAGGTTGATTCCATGTCTTTGCTATTGTGAATACTGCTGTGATGAACATATGTGTGCATGTGTCTTTATGGTAGAATGACTTATATTCCTTTTAGTATATACCCAATAATGGAATTGCTGGACAAAATCTTAATTCTGTTTTAAGTTCTTTGAGAAATTGCCAAACTGCTTTCTACAATGGCTGAACTAATTTACATTCCCCCCAGCAGTGTATAAGTTTTCCCTTTTCTCCACAATCTCGCCAGCTAGACTGTGATAAATTAAAGTCCTTCGCTCTTCCGCTGAAAGGAAACTCCAGGTGATTTGGCATTTGATTAAAATTATTAGGCCACCATAGGTATGTCTCTGAGAATGTTCTGCGAAGAGATTAGAATTTGAGTCTTTGAACTGAGTGGGGAAGATCCACCCTCAATGTGGGCAGATACCTTTCAATTGGCTGGGGGCCCAGATGGAATAAAAGGGTGGAGAAAGGGCAAAATCTTGCTCTGTCTTCTAAAGCTAGGATAACTTCTTCCCGCTGCTCTTGAATGTTACAACTCCCCTTCTCAGCTTTTGGACTCTGGGAAACACACCAGCAACCCCCAGGCTCCCAGGTTTTTGGCCTTGGACTGAGAGTTATGCTATTGGCTTCCTTGGTTCTGAAGCCTTCACACTTTGCAGTGAGCCATGCTACCAGTTGCCCTGGTTCTCTAGCTTGCAGACGTCTATCATGGGACTTCTCAGCCTCCATAATCAACTGAGCTAATTCATATATCTTATCAGTTCTGCCTCTCTGGAGAACCATGACTAAAACACCTATTGATTACTTATAATATGCCAGAAATGTTCTAAGTAATTTATACATATTGTCATTTAATTATCATAGTTCCAAATAGATGGGCACTATTATTAAACCCATTCTACAGATGTAGTCCTAAGGCACTTGCCCAATGTAGATGTACGATGCTTTAGGAGTTCAGAAACAGGAGAAGGAGAAATTCAGGACCAGGAGGAACAATGAGGACTGTATTAGCCTAGAGAAGTTGTCATGGAAGGTATAAGACTTGAGCTAGCTCTTGCAAAGGTATATGCTAATGACTACCAGAATTGTCACACCAAATGTCACAATCTAATATTATCAAAGATCTAGTACTTCAGCAGAGTAATTTAAATCAATTCCTCAGATCTCTCAACATTTATTAAATACCTATTATGTTTTAGCCTCCGCAATCAAAGAGATAAACAAAAAATGGCTATCTATTGAAAATGTATATATGATACTCAGCATATTACTAGATGTCACTGGGGTACAGCCCCCACTTTTGAAAAGCTTGTAATCTAGTTGGTCATGTGTGTGTGTGTGTGCATGTGTGTGTATATGTACACGTGTGCAAACTAATTAAAAAGCAACTAAGACTAGGTTATAATCATGAGCTACACTGAGCAATGCTCTATGATTCAGGAAAGCAGATTTCTGTGAATTACCCAGATAGCTTCATGGAGGAGATGGCTTGGAGCTGATATTGAAAAAGCAGCCACATTTATATAAGTAAAGGAAGCAGGAAGAATTTACCAGCTGGTGATAACAAGATGAGAAGGACTTAGGTAGGGATAAGCATAGTTGGTGTGACTAAGAGTGAATAATATTAAAAGATAGCTGAAAATAAAGTCACACATGTAAAGGGGGCAAGAGGGACACAAATTGGACATTAAAATTAACTCAAATCCCAGATTGTTGTTGAGAATATAGGCTTGATAATTTTCATCCTCAAACGCTAACTAAATCTTTCTGTTTTACTTATGCAGGAGAAAGGGCAGAAATATAAGACAGAGTGCAGAGAATACTAAAAATAATAGAAAAAAATAAGGTTTCAAAGACCATCTGATATGTAAGTAATTTCCTTGGAATTCAGAAATATCAATAAAATTTAAAACAGAGAATGTTACCTGATCCAAGATTTTATTTTTAAGCCCAAATCTTCTGTAAGCAATTAACAAACAGGCATCACTGATCCCACTAAACATCATCAAACCATATAGAAAATGCGAACTTTATATCAAAGAGCAGCATGAATACTGACATCCCCATGGGCTGGTGACGTGCCTGCACTGCTCAAATGACAGGGCACTGGGCCTTCCATGCGTCCAGGGGATATTCCCACTGTAATGTGTCAGCAGATTTGCAAATGTTCTCGGTGACAGCAGCACACAGTCCAGGAATATATCCTTACCCCTGTGCTCAGCTCAGATCGCCTCAGTGCAACGTCGCTCTGCCCTGCGGGGTCCCTCTAATGGCCCCAACTGCCAATGAAACACCTTCATCATCTCTGTATCTAAAATTGGACGAAGGTATCAAGTTTGGCTGCCTGATGAGACTAATTAAGTACTTTGCAGAGATGTGAAGAAGTAATCAGTCCTAGCCAGTGAGAAAAGAAAAAGAAAATATGAAGGAAACCCCTAGAGGTGACTCTGACACAGTTCCTGTCTCTATTGATGATTCATAAGATCACAGCTGAAAGAACCTCTACCATAAATCGAGGACCTGTGTTAACAGCAGGAAACGAAACATCATCTCACAACTCTTCCCCCACTAATTCAGCACATCAACCCCGCATCCTAAAATCGTTACATTGCTGTATACTGACACCTAGTGTCCAGAGTTAGGTGAGCCCAAAGGCAACATTTTTTTCGGTCAAACTGTGGGACATGGCTCTCTCCCGCATCAGGTTTCCTGGTGTGATTCCTCCCTCTGCTTCAGGGCATCCACGTGAAAGTGTCATTAAGAATTTACTTTAGTACAGTTAAACTCCCATTTTGTGGCCTACCCTCCTCAAGTACTTTGAAACTGCAAAGTGTTCCCCAGGACGACCCTGCTTTCTGCTGAGCACACAGCGAACTCCCACCTTTCCTTCTTCTTCCTCTCCTTCAGTATCAGGATGTGGTCTTTCTTTATATAAAGTCTATATATTTTAATAGCATTATTTGCTATACCAAATATAATTGGAAAGAGAAAGCTGTACCAGAAATGCCTCAGAATTGTTCATAATAGCAACATGTAAGTGGCTTTCGAATTATTTCATTTTGGAGAGTCACCTCTTCCCTCCTTCTACTCCCACAACCACACAGTGAGACAGAGAAAGAGATGTTAATGAATAATCAAAAGTCAACAGAATAACAGCACAAAAAAAAATCAAAAATAATCCCAAGGAGTAAGTACTTAAGTGACTCTATTTTATTCTAAGCACTCTTTAGAGATAAGCCAGAGCCGTTTCTAGACAGGAAGTGTAAAAATTTTTGAAGACGTGAGCTTTCAGATAGCAATAATTTCTCTCAAGACCATTTTTAGATCTACATTACTGTCTTTGAGTCAGACTTTTTCCATACAGGCAAAATAGAAGATGTAAGCAATTAGATGAGATTGGTGAGTAGAAGATGCATGAATGTAGATAGCATTTGGTCTTGGAGTTAGATTTTCCAGTTTGCTGTGCAATACATGGGACATAGTCATACTAAAAAATTATTCATTGTCATCTCGGCCTTAGCACCATTTTCTTGAAAACCTCTGTGCCATAAGAGCCAAGTGGAGGAAGAAGCGAATGCACAGGTTGAAGCGCAAAAGAAGAAAGATGAGTCAGATGTCCAAGTAAACCACTAGCTTCTTGTACCATGGAGGCCACAGGAGCAGAAACATGGAATGCTAGACGCTGGAGATGCTGGTACAAGTTGTAGGACTGCATGCTACTGTCCAGAGCTTATCTCATGATCTAGAACTTCATCGCCCTCTGATCGCCAATCACCTCTAAGACCCATGTTGCTCATAACCAAAACTGCCCATTTTGGTCCTTTGCCCTAGACCTGTGACATTCTGGACTATTTATGTGTTTACTTGTGGCCGAGTGTAACAACCATACAATAAATCATCTCTTCCGCTGTCTTAGCTGAAGAATTAAAAAGAAATCATTGTTTACATGAAATCAAACTTTATATCAAACTTACCTGGCTGTCCAGTATTTTATCAGGCAACGCTATTTGGGGTGGGGAAAAAAAAAATACCTAACTAGGAAAAGTAACTAGGCTCCTAGTGAAACCTGAGTCATTTTTATGGAAATGGGTGCTATAGTGGGGTTCCAAAGATCAAATATAAAAGTGAAAGCCCAATGCCATAAGCATTCAAGTACTACCTTGCATTTATTTAATGCTTCATAATTGGTAGAGCATTTCATATTTATTATATTATCTGGATCCTCCTCTTGACAACCCTTATGTGGGTATTTTTATGCACACTAAAAGACTCAGAGATGTTAAGGAATTGTCATTGTAATCTGCACGAGGCTATAAGGAAAAGACAGAATTCGAATCCAAGTCTCCCAGTATGGTGCAGTGTCTACAAATACAGAAAAAGTTCCTTTGAATACTGCACAAGACTTTTAATCCCTGAGCTACACATGAAAATTAAGTACCTGAAAAACCCAGTAACATCAGGACATAATGCCAAGAAAATGAAAAGATATTCTTAGAAAGAGTCATTGACCTGCCTTACATACTTTCAAACTGTAGAGTCCAGTTTGGTTTTAAAACCACAAAAGCATTCACTTTATTTTCCCAAGTATAGTAAGACATTATTCTGACATGGACTTACTCACATGTACCCAAAATCTCTAAATCTCCAACCACTACTCTCTGTAAACTATTTATATGTCTAGAGATCTTTGATAAAATCACAGGATAATTCAAATCTGTTTAACTTAGAGCTCATGTTCCCTAGATCTTTACATTTCAAATTTAGAAAATGTTCTTGTAATAATTCTTTTCACTATTAACCATCAAGGTCATTTTTAAATTGTAGAGTACTGACAGCTGGTGTTCATAGTGTATATTGCACTTCTCCCCTGAACTGTTTTTATTTCTTACCTGTGATCTTCAAATTGCAGTGTTTATAAAAATTCCCTGAGGAGCTTGTTAAAACATAGATTCCTAAGTCTCCACTCTTACAGATTCTGATTCTATATATCTGGGGCTATGTACATTGCAAGCACCACTGCTACCATCCCTTTTCCCACCTCCTGGCCAATCCTATTCAAGAGTCTGGGGCAGGGCTTTTCAAACATTATTGAGCATATGAGTCACTAGCAACCTTGTTAAAATACATATTCTGGGACAGTAGTTTGGGGATAGGGCCAGAGATCTTGCATATCTAACAAGCTCTGGGTTGCTTTATACCCCGATTTTAAACCTAGGCATTTCCAGTTCTTATGTAGCTAGATCACCACAGACCAAATCCTCTGAGTTTACAAAATGCAACTTATAGGTGCTTCTTGCTCAGTGACTAAAGAGATTTTGCTTAAATCTTCTCCTTAACCCTGTTCTCGACTCTGTCCACATGCTTGGGGCCTAAAGGATAGCCATAGTCACCTCAAGAAGTAGCTAGGAACAAAGAAGGCCATTATCCTGGTGGGAGTCCCACTAAAACCTTTGCCTGCTTTTCTCTAAACCAAATCATTTCCTGATACAAAGGAGACAGAAAGGCCCAGGGCAATATCACTCCCTATAAATCACAGTCAAACTAAGAACCAAAATATTAAATCAAGGGCTTCTTTTCTATTGTATCTCAGAGGCATGTAACATTCACTCTCCATAACATTTCTCTATGCCATTCACGCATTTCACCTAACAACAGATGGCTAGAATATACAGGATAGCCTTGGCTTTTCTGGAAATGGCCAGAGCATATGCCTGTCTTCATATACTAAATACTGAAGAACGCTTGCAGCAACCATGCAGGCAACTTCAAAAATGCATTCTCAACAGTTGAGTTGTATAACCAGGTCTAGCATGTTCACATACTTTTACTTATTTTTTTTATTCTTATTACCTTTTCTTTTACATGTTATTTTCTTACCACCAGGTAATAATGCTATAGAATCTTTTCTTAAAATAACACAGAATATTGTCTCCAAACTTCAAATGTGCTTTTAGATATGCTTAGTTGAGTGGGAAATATTCCCTGTTGTCTCTTTCGGTTTTATAATACTATTGTCTTTACAGAAAAAGCAGACTGCAATCCAGTATTCTTTCCAGGTTGAGCATTTAGTGATAACTATATATGCCTTAGTTTGCTTAAGTATGCATCCTTTGTTATTCAGATCTAGTGTTTTCTAGAATAAAAAGGAGACCATATGTTAATCAGAAAGCATTAATACAGGCAGCTGTAAGGGTGAGATGAGAAAGGAAACCCCAAGGATTACATATTAGCCTCCAAATAATCTCATAATCTGGTACTTTGATCAACCTTTATAGCTCTCTGAAGGCTCCTCTTTACCTCTGAAGGATAAGAACAAACCAAGAGAGAGTGAAAGGAGGAAAACATGTAGATAAGGGAAAACAGAATAACCACTGAGAGACAGCTATTCACCTCTGTCTCTTCTCCTTAGTTTTGCTGTAGTGGGAAAAAAAAAAAAAAAAAAACTAGAAATTTTGGAGCCAGATAAATCCAAGTTTGAATCTCACATCCGTCATTGTGTGTTGCTATATATGGCTTCAGGTAGTTTACTTAGCCTCTTTGAGTCTCAGTCTGTTTATGAAACACAGAAACTACTCCTTCCCTGGCAGAGTTCTTGAGAAGATAGATGTTAGGTAGGTATGGAGCCTGAAAATAGAACAACAAAGAAAAGCTGTTATTAATGGTCACTGCCACCACTTCTTCATCTGTTCAACTTTCAACAATATTTATTGATTACCTCTCTGTAGCAGGAATATAGTGAAGTCCTAAGACAGTGAACAGACAAAAAAATCTCTGTCCTCAAGAGGTTTATGTTTCATCCTTTGAATACCACAGTAATCAAAATTTCATCTCTTACTGTTCCACTGAAATTCCTCCAGCAAAGTCACCATTGGCCTATCAAATATGATGATCTCTTTTTGGTCCTTAATAAGACCATTGCGTAGCATCTAATAATCTTGAGCAATTATCTTCATGATGTTTAAAATATGTCTTTCTCCTGATTTTTGTCTACCCACTGACTAAAGTTTTTCAGTCTCTGTTGCCAGTTTTCTTCTTCGGTTACTCCTTTAATTGATACTTCCTAGAGCTCTGACTTTTGCCCTTTTTCTTTTATACTCTCCACTAGTGGCCCTTGATCTTTTCAGAGGCACAGACTCCTTCAAAGACCTAAAGAAGCTCAGCTCCCTTGAAGGGGAAACAGAACCTACTTATAATTATTCAGGAATTTACATGCATTTTCAGGAATTTCACAAATCTTCTTCACTCTCTGCAAAGCCCATCATTGTACTCCAGTCCAAGGGGTTCCAATGGCTTTAACTCTTTGTTAAAAACTCTCAAATTTTGGCTGGGCATGGTGGCTCACACCTGTAATCTCAGCACTTTGGGAGGCCAAGGTTGGCAGATCACTTGAAGTCAGGAGTTTGAGACCAGCTTGGCCAACATGGTGAAACCGGTCTCTACTAAAGATACAAAAATTAGCCCCAGCATGGTGGCGCATGCCTGTAATCCCAGATAATCAGGAAGTTGAGGCAGAAGAATCACTTGAACCTGGGAGGCAGATGTTGCAGTGAGCAGAGATCACTCAGTGCACTCCAGCCTGGGTGTCAGAGCAAGACTCTGTCAAAAAAAAAAAAATCTCAAATCTTGATCTCTCAGACAAGCCACTTTCTTGAGCAATAGACCTTTCAAATGACTTCTTGGACAAAAACCCACATGAATGCTCTCAGGCATCTTAAATTAAAATTCAAAATTCAAACTAAGCATATTATCATTCTCCTTAAATTTGCTTTCCTCTTGGGAGGAAGTATCCTATGAAAAAGGGAATACTAGTTTTAAACCAAACAGATTCAGATTTAAATCCAGCCCCAGAAGCTTCAGTAATATATTTCCTCTTTTTGCTTTCATTTTTTCATTTATGATATGAAGATAATAATACCTCAATTTTCTGCATTATTGAGGATTAAAATAGATATTGAAAAAATGCCTATCCAAGTGCCTGCCACGTAGGATATATTATACAAATATCCACTTTTTACTGGATTCCCAATCTCAGTAAAAGGAACCCCATTCGCCAAATATCCTGAATCAAAAATTTAGAAGTTGAAGATTCAACTTGTCCTCTTTTCCTCATCAGCAACCCATGGATAGCTATGTCATGTTGATTCCTTAACGCTCCCCTTCCCTTAGTTCAGGCTCTTTGTGTTCTTCCTCATGGATACTACAAGAGTCTCCTAACTGCTTGATCCAATTGCTGCCCAACACCCTTCCAATCTATTCTCTGTGCTGTAGCCAGAAGATCTTCCCAAGACACAAATCTGATAATGGCATGACTGCTTAAATCTGCCCACTTACTTTTCATTGCTTCCAGGATTACATCCGCCTTAGTATTGCACTGAAGATCAATTATGATCTGATCCCCATCTACCTCCAACTCAGTTCCTTGAACTAGCTGTGGATCTCTCAAACTGCCCACAGTCTTTTGGATTCTATTCCTCTATTCATTTTGCTTCCTTTGCCTGAAATGTTCTCAACCCCCTACATTTCTTCTGGCCACAAGATGATGAAGCACACGGGCCCTCAGAAGATTCTAGCATATACTCTTGGACTTCCAGCTCCATAACCATGACCTAAATAAATTTCTTTATAAATTAGTCAGTCTGTGGGATTATGTTGTTATTTTATAACAATATAAAATAGACTAAGACAATGACTTAGCTAGAAATGTCAGATTCAAGAATCCAATCAGGGCCATATGGTGTTAGTCTATACCTGTACCATTACATACAACATTCTGCCTTTATAGAACAGCATCAGTAGTGGTGGTAGAGGTCTTCAGGCTGGTAACTCCTGGACATACTTAGTTTGGAAGGATAATCTAGAATTCTCTCTTCAAATTTAGAATTTCTCCTCAACTCTAGTTTCCTATCACTAATGTTTGCAAAGTAAAGGTCTCAAATCACCAGCTTCTTTGGCACTTTTCTGCTCTCTTCATCACTAAACAACTTGACACCCACAGACTTTAACTAGGAATCACGAAGTCACAACAGAGAAAGAGAGCTCCCACCCCTTCCTTGGTTGTGCCTTATATCTAGCATTTTCTGTAAGAAAATATGCAGCTCTCTTTCAATTTCACATCTCAGAAATTGAAAGAGAGTCTGATGACTTTAGTAATTGGCCCACTTTTGGAGCAACAAATTCCCAGCATAAAAAAGCATCTATTAAAGAAAAACACAATTTGAAGTCAAAATTTTTGACTTCCATCCCACTACTGACCAGCTGTCTCCTACTATGTATAGGAAAAGAGGAAATAAATGTACAACATGAGAATTCTGGGGCAGGGATAATTTCCTAAGGTTAAGGTTTTTTGAGATATCAGATGGTTTCCAAGGAAAGTCCTAGAATTTCTTCCCTGGATATCCTTAACAAAGACATTCCAAGATACTCTCCTTTATCTGCGATTGAGTATTCATTGATTTGAACAGCTGCAGGAGTGTCAGCCTGTGATTCATAAAGCCTACTAATTTGGACATTACCAATTTGTAGTAATCAGACAGGAGTGGAATGAAGTTTGCTCTATGTTATCAACATAGAAGAGCATTTCTTAAATTAACTATATATATGATTGTGGGGAAGATGCTCAAATAACCTAGCAGAACTATTTTCACATATCTTATAAAAATACAATTGCCAGCAATTGTGCTTCTAGATATTTACTCAACTGACTTGAAACATGTTCACAGAAAAACCTGCACTTAAATACTTAATACCAGCTTTATTCACAATTGTCAAAAACTGGAAGAATCACAATGTTCTTTAATAAGTATAAATGGTGGTACATCTATACATTAGAATACTATTCAGGGATCAAAAAGACAGAAATAAAGACCAGGCCTGGAGGCTCATACCTGTAATACTAATGCTTTGTGAGCTGACGTGGGAGGATCCCTTGAGGCCAGAAGTTTGAGGCCCCCTTCTCTACAAAAAAGTTTTTACAATTAGTGAAGCATGATGGTGTGCACCTGTAGTCCCAGCTACGTGGGAAGCTGAGGCAGGAGGATTGCTTGAGCCCAGGAATTTGAGGTTACAGTGAGCTATGATCGTGCCACTGGACTGCAGCCTGGGCAACAGAGCTATCAGACCCTGTCTTAAAAAAGAATCCATAAAAAGACAGGAATGAACTGTTATGCCACACAAAAACATGGATGAATCTTAAATGCAGCTATTACTATGTGAAGAAAATGAGTCTGAAAATGCTACATGCTGTATTATTCCATTTCTATGTCATTCTGGAAAAGTCAAAATTATAGAGATGGTAAACACATCAGTGGTTGCTAGAGGTATAGGAAGGTGGGAGGGTTTAATACTAGATGAAACAAAGGGGATCTTTTTAGAACTACAACTTTTCTGTATGACACTCTAATAATGGTGGATCCATGACACTATGTATGGATTTGTCAAACCCCATAGAAAGAAAATTTGAAGTTAAAAAAATTTTTACTTCTATCCCACTACTGACCAGCTGTCTGCTATTATGTACAGGAAAAGAAAAAAATAAATGTGCATTATGAGGATTGCACAAACAGAACCTAAACGGAGGAAGATTTTTTAAAAAATCTTAGGAACTCAAAGAATCCCAGGAGTAATGCAGATTGTGGCAAAAGATTACAACTGTATTACGAGCATATAAAATAACTTCACTGAGGCCGGGTAGAGGTAGGAGGGAGGGCTGCTGACTTCAGTAACTTTGAAAATAAGTGGAATCTATAAGATTAAAAGCAAAAGAACTATACATAAGCATTGTACTCTAATTGGTAAATCTGTTTCTCACAGGTATACCTGATAACAGTTCAGAAACAACTATACATGTACTCTGAATACGGGTTGACGGTTCTGAATCCATTATACACGTAACCTGGAATTGAACAATTAGGTAAATGGATGGCAGATGATGAGAGCCAGGTGTCTCACACTGGAGTGGAAGGCTACAGACAAGCAAGGGGAGAAGGCTGCAATGATCCATATGGTGCTGGAATTGAACTGAAGATAACAGCTCTAGTATTTGAACCTAGAACGCCTGTGTAGCTGTCAAAGATACAGATGGATACATATATAAATACTTACAGATATGCGTATTTAGTCAGGTTAGCATATCCACAAATATTTCCTTGCTCTGTCAGCTGAGAGTGTCTAGAAGCAACAACATCCCAAATGTCCAAATCTTGATTTCTAATATCATTTTCCATTAAAAGTACCCTTGGCTTTTTGGGGAAGCAGCTGATTCTAGGATTGGGGCAGGGAATATACAAGATGAGCCTGGAGCAACTTATAGAAATTAAGAAAATGCTCAAGAAAAAAAATCAATAAACATAAAACGAGGAGGGTTTGTCAAAAAGACACAAATGCCAACTAAAGGAAATCTCAATAGCCAAAGCTGGAACCAATATGAACAACAAAATAAAGTAGTATTGGATTATAACCCAAAATGTAAAATAAATATCCATGAGTCCATACTGACATAAATGATTGAATACATAAATAAATGCAGTACAGACAAATCTCCCATGCAGAAGAATTCCAAATAATTCATGAAGATATTCTGTCCTCATAAAGGTGGAGTATAACAATTTCCCATTCCTATAGTTTGGGCTGCACAGAGAGATGTCCTTCCAAATAGTATAGTATGGAGAGGAAAAGAAAAACAGTAACTTCACAGTGGAGAAACCTGACAAACCCTACATAGGGAGGTGGAAGGGCTTACTAGATGAAACAAAGGGGATCTTTGTAGAACTATAAAACTTTTCTGTATGACACTGTAATAATGGTGATAAAGGTTAGCATCAACAGTAATAAGTCATGTTGATAGTATATACCCTTGATGTGATGTGATGAGAAGATCACTTTACCTTACCTCTTAACTCAAGAAAAACCCATAACCTCAGTTAATGCATGAGAAAAATACAGGCAAAACCCAATTGAAGGACATTTGACCAAATGACCAATAAGTCGCTTCAAAACTATTAAGGTTATCAAAAACAAGGAAAGTTTGAGAAACGGTCACGGTCCAGAGGAGCCTGGAAGACATGGTGATGTACTCCGGACAGGATCCTGGAATGGAAAAGAATACCAGGTCGAAAACTAAGGACATCTGGAATAAAATATGGGCTTATGGGCTTTAATCAATTTTTAAAAAAGTATTAGATACATGAAAATGATACACGATTTACAAATCAATCGCCTAATATTTATCGAGCATATTGAGAGCCTGGCACTGTGGTAGGGCTGGGGACACAGAAAGAGGTAAGTGCCCTATGCTCAAAAACAGCGATTCATGAAAAATAAACAACTATGACAAAAAGAACAGAAGACTGTATCTCCTGGAGGCAGTAAGGAAGGCTTAAGTTGGGAGGACTATCAAACGCATCAAGGAGTTACTGAAGATTAACTGACCCGCCTAACGCAGGTCGGAAGCCCTCCTATCCATCCACCCAAATCACCCCTGCCCCACCTTTTCTCCTCCCTTGCGTTTACCCAATGGCAGGTCGGCTCCACGTAGGCCTACTTTGCGCGTGCGCATCATCGTTTCGACGCGCTCGGAAGCAACTTCCTTTGCCTGCTCACCGCCAGCGTAGGTGCTACCACCGCTGCCGTCGCCGCCGCCATTTTGATGGCAGGAAGAGTCCGGTTCTGGGACAGCTGGAGACAGTGGTGGTGACTGGTACGGATGGTTTCCGCCCATGTTAGCCCCTCCAAATTTGCCCGTGTTAGGGTTACAGCCCTCGGTATTGCCCGTATTTTCACTGGGTCCCTGTCGTTGTCCCCAGCCATCCTGTCCGTCTGTCTTTAGTCTCTTTTCTGCTTCCTCATCTTTCCGATCAGCCTGAAGCTTTGCTTGGAGCTGTTGTTACGCAGCCCCAACTTCTGTTAAAGCAGCCGCTTCGATCCTCTGGACTGAATTTTGGCCACCCAGCCCCCATTCCCCTCCCGGATCTGGTCCGAGTTGTTTTTCCGCGGCTGTAAACCGGAAGGGCTCTGAGCTGCACTGCCGGCTCCGGGCTGGGGGATCTGTGCCTGGCATGGGGGCGAGTTCTGGCCTCCTTAGGGTACGGGGAGAGCTTGGACTTTGGTCCTGACGTGGTGGACGACACACCTTCGAAGAGTGGACGTTACCTCAGTTGTCTGTTGTTAGAGTTTAATCGATCACTCGTCTGTTTTGTTGTGTTCTTTCCCAGAAATAACTTTACCAAAGGAAAGCTATTTTGCGAACTATCTTCTCCAGCGGAGATGGCCAATGTGAGTAAATTATCTCTTAAGAATCAGCATAGTAAACTCGTTTGGGAATGTTAGGAATGAAAGAACGGGTTTAATTATGATGGCATTGGGTGGTATAGTGTTAGATATAATGTATCAAAAATGTCAAGGGAAGCAAGTGGTGTGAAATTATGTTATGCTTTGAAGATGGTAGCATTCTTTGCACTGCAAATACACTTATTTATACAATTTCATTTGTACAGATGTGGAAATTCAAGCACCCTTTCGGTATTTTTTAAATACAGCGTTTCAGTAAATATTAGAATCTATGTTTAGGCCCTTTTTTAGCTTTTGGGTTAGCTAAACTGAAGGGTTTTTTTAATCTTTTTTTCTTTTTTTTAAAACAGTTTCCATATTGGAAGTGACCTTCTAAATCCTACAAAATAAGAATAGGAGATACTCTCACACACCAGAGATATTTATTGACTGTAACTTTGCAGTGATTAGACACATCCTATCTATAGAATTCATATGTAGCGGTCATAAGACATATATAAAAACAGCTACAATTAAAGTATAAAGTAATAATTTTTTTTAGAACCTACACGAAGGTGCAATGCAGATTCAAGTCTTTGTGGAGAGGAGTTTGGGATCACTTCATGAGGGAAACATTTAACTTGAGGTTTGAAAGATAGGTGGGATTTGTATAGTCTAAAATATGAGCGGGAAGGACAGGAAGGTATATTCAAAGAACTCCCCAACCCGCCTACCCCTTTGAAAAACTGAAAAGTGACTGCTGCCTGCCAACCTGAATGTAAGCTGCATGAAAGAGATAAGTGGGAGATAAGGTTGAATTGTGAGGTTGGTACCAAGTAAATGAGAGCCTTGAATGCCGAACTCAGTAATTTAGACTTCATTCTTTAAATTGTGATTATTCACTTAGAGCTGTGTGCTAGGAAGATTTATATGGCAGCATTTAGCCAGGATGCTATTTCTGTAATTGAACATGGTATATTAAGTCTAAAGTGTGACTATAGAGACAAGTCATAAGAATAGATTACTAGTCTTGGCCAAGTTCTATGGTGAATTTTTGCCTGCCCATAACCTGCACAGAAAGAGAATGCTGTAAAAGAAGTATGTGGTACTTTCAAAGGAGAGAAATTAATTGAAGTAGAATAGAATGCTATTATTTGACCTGGTTTTATTTTGGTTTAAATGAATAAATTATAATAGTTCAGTAGGGAAGATCCTTTTATAAGTCTTTTGTTAGAAAGAAGTTCATATTAAAATAAATTTAAGTTTCAGTATCCAAATGTACGATAACAATTTTTGTGTTAATTTATATGGATTGTAAATTGTGGATGGATGTTACTAATGAAATATGCAGATAGTGTTTCATAACAAGGGGCAAGAATGTTCATGTTTCAGAGTCTAGACAGGTACATTAAGAAGCCTTCATGGGGACTGTGACAAAGCCTTTCTGAACAAAGGGGAGCAACCTTTCCTTAGCTACAGTGATTTGTTGCTAACTAATGCCATTTGGTTATGTGAATCCAATACTGCCAGATCTTCTGAGTTTTCAAGAAGAGCCAAATTTCTGGACCTTTTGTGTAAATATTGCGATTTCTCAATGTTTGTATTTAATTCAAATATCTTGCAACACTGTGGGATGCACAAAAATGTCTGGATAGATGTGGATGCACTACATAAACTACCAGTTTTTAGTTTTTGTACAGACCATATTTTTTCCTCACATGATCAAAAGCAGAACTTAGTCCTAAGGCAGTGCACAAAAGGCACTTTCTCTTTATATACTAATAAGGATTTTACAGTTAAAACATAATAGCATGTCATCTTCCCAAGTCTAGAAGTTTGAATTTAATCATATATAAAATAAATGCTTTTCCTCAAACTAGAATGAACTCTCTGCTGTAATTTTGACTTGCTTTTTGGCTATTATTTTTAATTATGTTCACCAGCTGAACCAGTCATAAAATCTGTCAAGTTGTCAGAAAATATTCCACTTCCACAATTACAATTACAGATTTGTTTTTCTTCTTTTTTTTCTTTTTTCTTTTTTTTTTTTTTGAGACGGAGTTTCACTCTTGTTTCCCAGGCCGGAGTGCAATGGCGGGATCTCTGCTCACTGAAATCCTGGCTCCTGGGTTCAAGTAATTCTCCTGCCTCAGCCTCCTAAGTAGCTGGGATTATAGGCACTTGCCACGATGCCCGGCTAATTGGCTTTTTTTGTATTTTTAGTAGAAACGGGGTTTCACCATGTTGGCCAGGCTAGACCTCAGGTAATCCACCCACCTTCGCCTCCCTAAGTGCTGGGATTACAGGCATGAGCCACTGCACCCAGCCAAGATTTGAGAATCTCACAGGTTAACGGGTAAGGTTTGAAACAGATTAGTACTATCATCAACTGTCGCTTTCAGTGGGCAATTTAGATACTGGTTTATTTTGCTATTAAAATGAAATTTGGTAATTGGATTTTCTTAGGCTAGGAACAAAACTCATATTTTATTATATAACTTTTGTTAAAAGTTCTATCACCAAGAAAAGAATGTCAAAATATAATCTAATGGCCTTGATAGACAGGCTAAAATAATAAATAATAGGCGATTTTTGAAATAATTTGGATGATCTTCCTCCTCCTTCTGTTTTTTGCTTGTGAAACGATGTGAATGATCGCAGATTGTAGTTTAACCATGCTGAAACTAGTTCTAATAACAGTATATAGAATTGTTATGAAAATTAAATAAAACAATGTATATGTACAGCACTTACTATAGAACTTGGACCCATAGTGTCCAACATTGATTATTACTATTACATGCTCTCAAATATTGGCCCCTTCAGATAATCTTTTATTTTGCTGCTGCTTATTTTGAGCCCTTGCTGAAAATATTTTTGGAATTTGAAATTTTAGATTCCTTTAGATCCTGAGGCATTCTCTTAAATATCCTTAGTTGTAAAGGTAAATTTGTATTATATAAACACCCAAAAGTCTGAGTTTGTTTAGTAAGTAAAAAGCCAAATAATTACCATTTTTGTTTCTTTGGGCAAGTTGGGTACAGACCCCAAGAGAGGCAGCCTAAATTTTCAGGTTGACAGAATGCTTTGGAGACACGTATCACAAAGGAGGTTATATTTATCCAGGTCTTAAAGAAAAAGTAAGAATTTGCTAGAATTTTCTAGAACGATAAGGAAACAGTATCTTTTAGCAGAAGAATTCTTATGGCAGTATAAAGAATGAAGAGAAATGGGAAATGTTGGGGAGATATTTTTATGTAATTGAAAAGTAGAGTAAGGGAAGGGAGGGTAAATTTGTAGGAAATTATGTCAGAAAGGCAAAAAGACCAGTTAAGATGCACTCATAGTGACAAAGGAGGAAGGAAAAAATAGGTTGGATATTAGAATACTGTACTTTGTGAAAAGGAAATAGAATAATTCTCAGGTGTCAGATGGCTGGATTTTTCCAACATCCTGGTAACTGATTTTCACACCACCTCTCTACTCCTCCTCCAGTCCATTTTTTATACTGCCCTTAGTGGTACATTTCTTAAAACAGCCTTTGTTTTTGTCAGTTTGCTCTGACTCTTTCCTGCCTACAAATTAAAATTCCGACTTACTATCTTGATGTAACAAGCCCTTTACCATCTGTGTCAAATATACAGTCTTTTATAGTTGCCCATAAGTTCAATTTCAAACCTTTTTTTAATTGCATTCTTATACCTACCCTCACTGAATTTGTCACTCTTTGAAATATGTCTTTATTCCTTTGTTCCTGAAAGTCACTCATTGAAATGCACCTTTTCCCAAGCAAATTTTTACTGTATTCAAAATTTAGTATATCCTCCATGAAATTTATTACCTTTTCTCCCAAGGATTTCTTAACAATTATTCAGATCTTTTCATAGCATTTCACAGATGATTTGATATTTGTTTTTACATCTTTTTCACTAAACTGAGAGTTGCCAATGTCTGTGTGTATGTGTGTTTTTAATACAAATATCCGGATAGTGCATATTTTAGGCTTTGTGGGCCACAGAATATCTCTTGTAACTACTTAACTCTGCCATTGTCGTGGGAAAGTGACCATAGGCAGTACATAAATTAGTATGTCTATGTTACAGTAAAACTTTATTTACCAAAACAGTGGGCTGTATTGGGAAATCGTTCGCCAATCCCTGCATTAAATTGTTCTGACCCAAGTACTTTGTTAAAAAATTTATGAATGAAAGATTGTTAAAAAATTTATGAATGAAAGATATTTACACATTCATCCATTGTAATACATGACCTCACTGTCTAGTAAGTGAACATATAAGCAGAAAAAAATATACCACAAAGATACGTGCTGAAATGGAGAAAAGCAGACATTGCCATGAAACCACAATGAAAGGACAGTATGGGAGAGAATTAGCGCAATTTATAGCAGTAAAAGAAGAGAGAAAAGTTCGAAAGTAACAGATTTTGGTCCAAAGAGATGTCTTGAGAGTTCTTTATTGAGGATAGAAGAATCTTGTTAGTTGTGCTACCTTTTTAGTGTTGTGTCTAAATAAGACAACTTTTAGATGTCTATTCTCTCATGTGTGGCACTCTTGAATTCTAGCCTTTATTGAAAAGTACATAGGCTTTTACCCAAACTAACTTATTACTTGTTTTTTTAATTTTTATTTTTATTTTTAAAATTACAAATATATATAATGCTTTCATATAGTAGGTGTTCAGTAAAAGTAGAATAAATGTTGGTTTTAAAAGAACCTTGCAGTGTGAAGATTTGCCAGAGATTGTCTATGTAAGTATAACATTTATATTCAGAACAAATAGTTTTAATTTTGTGTCATTTCTAGGTGCTTTGTAACAGAGCCAGACTGGTTTCCTATCTCCCAGGATTTTGCTCTTTAGTTAAAAGGGTTGTCAATCCCAAAGCCTTTTCGACTGCAGGATCATCAGGTTCGGATGAGTCTCATGTGGCTGCTGCACCTCCAGATATATGTAAGTGAAAGTTGTTACTGCTTTACTTATAATTGTTTCAAAACATTTTTAGTTGTATTTTCCTCTAATATTTCTTCTTAAGGCTTAATGGATTTTTCTAAAGTTGTGTTTGTTCAGTTGAAAATGAATCACAGCTCTGCCTAAATATATTTATGTCAGAAAGCTACAGTATTGAAAAAAGAGTAAGTACTGGTTTCTAAAGCTTACTTCTTAAACTTTTCTTTCTGTCTTCAAACATAGAGTCTTCCCTGAAACAAATCTCCTTTTGGTCCTGTTAAACCATATTATTATTTCTTCCCATTCTTTGCTAGATTTCATAAATGTACCTTGTACTTTTTATGTGTTAGTGTTTATTGAACTTACCTGCTTTCTACAAAGTCTGTTTCTTCTAACCTGTTTGGTACACCACTACCATGCTAATCATTCTAAATTATTTTAACCATGTCCCTTTCTTGAAAAACCTGTTATCTTTCATTGCTTTCAGCAGTAGTTCCCAGACTACCTTCAAGCCATGAAGCTTTGTTCAAGGTTAAAAAGAAAAAGTGGGGGTAGGGGGATAGTCTCTGTGGTAGGTAAGTTTGAGAAATGCTACATGCCATATTCCTGCCTTGGAGGCTTATAAGGCACACTAAAATATTAAAGACTCTTAGAAACTTAACCTAATGTGTCCTAAAGATATTGGACATGGAATCCTTTTTTCATGGCACACATTACTTACAACGTAATTTAAGTTCACTTGAGCATTCAGAGCCTTCCATCCTGCCCAAGTTTTCTAACTCTCTGACTACTCCCCAATTTACATCACCTAAAGACTAACCATATATTTATAATAAATGAAAGATTTTGCCATTCAAATTATATAAGATGTTAGTATCTGGAATATATAAAGAATTTATAATAGATCAATAGGAAAAGATAACCCAACAGAAAATCAGAAAACAAAAGGACATGAATAGGCCTTTCACAGAAAACAAAACCTAAAATGACCAGTAAACATATGGTCAAATCCACTGCCCAAATCTACTATTAATATGGGATGCTTGTTTTCTGTAAAGAGAATCTAGGGATTGTTAGACTTTTAAAAACCATCTTGTTCAAAAATAGCTAACAGGTTTTCTCTTGGGAAGTGACTTGAGTAGTCATTAGTGGCTGTCTAGATAGAGCCTTGTTATTCAACATGATCTGCATCAGTATCATTTAGGAGCTTGTTAGAAATACAAAATCTTGAGCCCCACTCCAGACCTATTAAATCAGAATCTGCATTTAAACTAGATCCCAGATGTATCTTAAGTACATCTTTAGAGTTTGAGGGGCACTGGACTAGAGTGTTTATGTTGAGAATCTTGAGACGTTGTCTGGGTTCAGCAGGAAATGGTTCCATGATTGATGGGTGATGTATGTCCTAAGTGTGGAAGAGGGATATGGTGGCTCATGATCCAGGAATGAGACAGCCATGCTGACATGGCCATTCTCAGTTACTTAGTTCTCTGACAGGATATTTTTAAATATCTATTTTTATTGCTAAGTAATATGCATAGCAGTTGTCCCTCTGTTTCTCTAAGCCCAGATCTCTACTCTGAGTAATTATTAGTTTAATTTTCTACTTTATTCTTTTCTGAATCTTTCTGAATTTTTTATAAGTTAGGATTTTTTTTAAAGTTTTAAGTGAATAAAGTAATGTGGTCTGTTCTATATTTGCAATCCATATTAACTCATGTGGCTGGTAAACAGAGCATTAGGTCATGTGATGCATGATTTTTTTTCCCGTTCGTATTTTGTGCCACCAGATAACAGCAGCAGAATGCCCCTCCCCAGACGACCATTACTAAGTTTCATTTTAGATCTTCTCTTTACTTAAAAACATGGGCCTGGCACAGTGGCTCATGACTGTAATCCCAGCACTTTGGGAGGCTGAGGGAGGAGGAGACCTTGTGTCTACCAAAAATAAACAAAATTAGCTGGGCATAGTGGTGTGCACCAGTGATCCCAGCTACTTGGGAGGCTGAGGTGGACCTCAGAGGTCAAGGCTTCAGTGAGCTGCGATCACACCACTGTACTGCAAGAGACCCGTCTCAAAAACAAAACAATACGTGAATATGGGGATGTAAATAAATGTTATTATACATGCTGTTCTTTGACTTAGCTTTTTCTTTTAACGCATTGTATCCTGGATTTCATTCAGTGTCAGTATGTAAAGGTTTATTGTCTTCTTTTTAATGACATTCAAGCATTTCTTAGTATGGATTAGAGTATTTTATTCAGTCTTTCCCCTAATAACGGACTTGCCTGTGATCTGTCAATCAGTTGCTTTGATTAGTGTTTTGGAAACAATAGGAAACTATTTATATTCACATGGGAAAGCAGATTTTGAAGATCTTTTAGATAAAAATATACATAATTTTAAGAAGAGCATTCTTTCAGTCTACCAATATACTTGACTATTAAGGAGAAACTGTTCCTTTTGTTGTTTCTCTTCAGGCTCTCGAACAGTGTGGCCTGATGAAACTATGGGACCCTTTGGACCTCAAGATCAGAGGTTCCAGCTTCCTGGGAACATAGGTTTTGATTGTCACCTCAATGGGACTGCTTCACAGAAGAAAAGCCTGGTTCATAAAACTTTGCCTGATGTTCTAGCAGAACCTTTATCAAGTGAAAGACATGAGTTTGTGATGGCACAATATGTGAATGAATTTCAGGTAAATTGTTGGTAACATTTATTGTGCTTTCCTGATTATTAATGCTATATGACTTGATTATTATAAGCATATTACTTTTGTTGAAAAAGTAAAAAATCAATTTAATTCCAGTACATGTATATACAAAAACAGCATATATAGCTTTGGAAAACTTGGCATTGTCCTCTACAAAGTGTTTGCTATATAATTTTTTTACTGTAGATTATAATATTTTTAAAATATTTCTTGAAAAGTATGTTTTTAAGTAACTACTCTAGATATACATAATGTAATTACATCTGTAGACTGGAAATTTAGGTTCCCTGTTTTTCATTTTTAATAAATGGCAATTAAATTTGTATATGGATCTAATTCCAACTGGTTCTGTATTCCTCTAGCCATTTAAAAGCTTAAGAAAAATTTGAGATCTCTGAAATTGTTCAGATATAGTAAAAAAAAAAAAAAGGAACCAGTTTCATAAGTTTATTTTTTCTTAAACAATTTATTAAGGTTTGTTTGGGTTTTTTTTTTTCATTTTTAAACATTTTAAACTTGCATTTATGATTATTTATTTAAGTGGAAAGCTACATGCAATTCAGGGTTTCTGTCAAACCCCTGATGGTTATCATTTTTCATATTTTTGCATAGTTTTAGGCTGAGTTTTTTTTTATCAAAGCCATATTATAAGCAGCACCAATTCCTTACATTTGAGTTATGTTAGATGACATGACACTGAGACACAGTTGACCTGTCCTATATTTTTATCTCAGATAATTCCTTCTCAGCCTTCTTGGCTCCTTGTTCTTCCTGTCTACCAACTAAATTACATTTCCCATAAGTTTCTGTCCTACACCTTCTCATTTGAATCACCCCTTGGTCACTTAATCCCTTGGCCGCCTCCACAGTCTATGTTTTTATAATTTCTAATTCAGTATTTCTATTTCTGACATTTCCAGTTCTATATTTCTATATGCCTACTGAACCATCTTTGTTTGGATGTCTCACAAGTCCCCAGATTTTGTGTGTCTAATACTGAAGTAATCTTTTTTTCCTTAAAAACCTGTCCTAACTCCTGTATAACCAATACTATTAGTGGAATAACCATCCTCCCCTCTCTCGTAAGATAAAACTTATAGCACCAACCTTCTTTCTCCATCATATCACTATAAATAATATAAAAATCACATCGCTTTTATCTCTCAAGTTGCTCCTAAAATATTAGTGTCCTTTCAATTCTTTGCCAGAGTTCAAGGCCTCTTTGTCTTACCTGGATTTTTAGAGTCATTGTAGCATGACACACAATGAAGATAGAATAAATCTGGGTTCAAAGATTGACTCTGCAACTTACTTAATTTTGTGACCTCGAGGAAATTACTTAACCTTTCTAAGCTCCTGTTTCTTTGTTGTTGTTGTTGTTGTTTGGTTTGTTTGTTTTGAGATGAAGTCTTGCTCTGTCACCAGGCTAGAGTGCAGTGGTGCGATCTTGGCTCACTGCAACCTGCAACTCCCTAGTTTAAGTGATTCTCCTGCCTCAGCCTCCCGAGTAGCTGAGATTACAGGCGTGCACCACCACACCCAGCTGATTTTTGTATTTTTAGTAGAGGTGGGGTTTCACCATGTTGGCTAGGATGGTCTCGATCACCTGACCTTGTGATCTGGCCGCCTTGGCCTCCCAAAGTTCTGGGATTACAGGCGTGAGCCAGTGTGCCTGACCACTCCTGTTTCTTTATAAATGTCACATGAGGATAGTAATAATCTCTAGCCCACAATATTTTTTTTTCTTTCTTTTTTTTTGAGACAGAGTTTTGCTCTGCAAATCTTGGCTCACTGCAACCTCTGCCTCCTGGATTCAAGCAATTCTCGTGCCTCAGCCTCCCAACGAGCAGGGATTACAGGCATATGCCACCATTCCTGGCTAATTTTTGTATTTGATATTGCTGTTTCTCATTGCCTGTAGACTAAAGTCCAAATTTCTTAATGCTGAATAAATGGCATTTCATAATTTTGATCCCTTACCTTTCCCACCTTATCTGCCACTACTTCCTATTCCCTCTGCACTCCAGCCACAACATACTTGCCATTTTTCTTGAATACACATTCTGTGTCTTTGTACTTTATTATCTTTTGCTGGACTATTTTTCCTCCTGAATTCCTAACCTCTGTACCAGCTATTTTTTACCTGTCAGACATAACACATCAACTAACTTGTAGCTCAAATATCACCATTTCAATCATTTCCTGATTCCTCCCAGCAAAGTAAGTTTCTTCCTCATCTATGCCCCTGGAAGACTTTATTCATAACTCTGTAGCACTTGTCATATTTAATTGCATTTATTTGCTTGTACTTATTTTTTTTTATTAGGCCTGAAATAGCTGAGAGTGAGGACTGAATTTTTTACCATTGCAGCGCCTGCTCCTGTCATAGTGCCTGATGTATAGTAGGCTCTCAGTAAATTTCAGTTGAATAAAAGCCTCTAAGCTCTTCCTGTAGGAGAGGCTGTATTATTTAGTCATGTATCTTGTAAGTTAGTATCATTATCCCCCTTTTACAGATTATAGAAGAAAAGATAATTAAATATTACCATAAAATAGAAGAGGTAACATTATGAGACACATTATGGCATTTTAGTTACTTAGCCAATTTCTGTTTATACCAAGTTTTAGAATATCAGTATATTTATATATTCATGCTCTGCTGTATTCACATTTTTTGAACTTCCAAATCTTATATTCATTGTAGAGAAAAGTTTGAGTAAATGAGAAAATGTTATTACCTCACCTCCCAGTTAGATTATAATTTTTTGTAAAAACAAACAAAAAGCTTTCTAAGGAAGACAGGTTTATAACAGGCAAGATACCGTTTTATTTGAACTCCAGATTTTGTTGACTTATATCCTTGTTCCCCTTAGGGTAATGATGCACCTGTTGAACAAGAAATTAACAGTGCAGAAACTTACTTTGAAAGTGCCAGAGTAGAGTGTGCAATACAGACATGTCCAGAATTGCTGCGAAAAGGTATGTCATGCTTTATACTTTGAAACACTGTTACTAATTTTTTTAATATGTTGAATAATGTACTCTATAGAAATTGGAACGCTGTATACCTTAATATTATATTTTACCGTATCTGGCTGGAAATGATTGCATGGCCAAGATAAAGGCTTTGAAATGTCCTGTGACATCTGACCTCATGCTGCCATTAGATAGGAAGAGTAAAATTTTTAATAACTTTTTTCCTAAGGCTAAATTAAAGTCATTTTTACTCCTGGGTGATTATTAGAGTTATAATTTTATGAGTTAATATAATACGGAAAAATCTTAACAGTAAGCATTTTTGAAAATTATATTAACCCCAAATAACGTGTAATCCTACTTACCCTTCAGGATTGTTGGTAGTAATATTTCAGTTCATCCAACAAAAGCAGAAGTAAACAAAACTAAGTGAATTTTACCCTTTTCAAAAATAACATACATTTATAAAAATTAACTAATACCACAGTAATTTTACTTAATCAGCATTTTTCTAAAGAAGTACTTTTATCCTTCTTTAAAAATTTGTTCTTTAAAAATCAAATTCTTTTCTACCTGGAATGTTTATTCTTATTTGTAGATTTTGAATCACTGTTTCCAGAAGTAGCTAATGGCAAACTAATGATTCTGACTGTAACACAAAAAACTAAGAATGATATGACTGTTTGGAGTGAAGAAGTAGAAATTGAAAGAGAAGTGCTCTTAGAAAAGGTAATTCTTTCAATTGCTAATAATTTAATTTTATGGTCATTATTTAAGTAATAGTGAACCAATGTCTTAAAATGATGACTGTCATTTCCACCCTTTATTCATTTTCTGCCAAAGTATTATAATACTAAAGGACTTACATCTTTTTTGAGAGTAAAAGTGCAGCTTTTTAGTATCCTTAAAAGTTTAGATTCTGTTTATTACTTTCCTCAATTTATTTTTAAAAAGTCTATTTTGGAAAATTTGGTAAATGACAAAAAGGTAAAATTAACTCTTTATCCTTCTCCCCTCAGCCTCCCCCTCCCTCTCCTTCTCCATCTCCCCCTTCATCTCCCCATCTTCCCCTCCAAATCTATCCCCTTTCTCCTGGGCTTAGAACATGTCAAAATAAAGAGTGAAAATTATGCCAGTTCTCTCCAAGAGTAAACAGTAACAGTATGCAGTACAATAATAGTGTAATAATGTATACCCACATTTTTTTCTGTGGTTTGCTTTTAACCTAAAGTATGCTTTGACATGTTTCCATGCTTACACATAGATATATTTCATTCTTTATAAAATCTGCATAGTATTAATATCACAGGGTAAACCATAAACTTTTTAATTTATTTAAGAATTTTAACTGGGTGCAGTGGCTCACGCCTGTAATTCTAACACTTTGGGAGGCTGAGGCTGGAGGATTGCTTGAATCCAGGAGTTTGAGACCAACCTGGGCACTGTAGTGAGACCCTGTCTCTACAAAAAAAATTATCCAGGTTTAGTGGTGCGCACCTGTAGTCCCAGCTACTCTGGAGGCTGAGGTGGCGGATCACTGGAGCCTGAGAGGTCGAGGCTGTAGTGAGCCTTGATGGTGCTACTGCCCTTCAGCCTGAGCGACAAAGTGATACCTACCATCTCTTATAAAAGAAGTTTCTTAGTCATTTATAAGTTTAAAATCCAACTTTTGCTATTATAGGCAACAAGCAGTGACAGTCTTTTTACAAATACTTTTATGCATGCTAATATCTATAGATTCCTAAATAGAGAATTGCTGAATCAGTGTGTATCTACATTTTAAATTTTGATAAGACACTTCCAATTTGCCCATCAAAAAGACTGTTCTAGTATATAAGCTGTCATGCTAGCTTACCCTGGGTGTTAGCAGTTCTTTCCAACTCAGGTTAGCTAAGGGGCCCAAGTCACTAACTTGAGTTAAAAAATCCCTTTAGTGATTCCTGTGTAGGATGTTAGGAAGTATTTTATATTTGGGATTAGATGTATGGTCTTTATTTGTAAAAGTATATTGTAATTTACATATTCAACAATATTATAATTTCACATTTAAATGTCACATAACTGCTAATAGATTTCGTGTGGTTTTTAACAATCACAAGCATATTAGTTATATACTAATTAACAAGGGAGTTATAGAGAGTTATAGGATATTTTCTATTTACATATTAAAATAATGCTTAGTAAATATATACTCATCACTATCATTGAAGTGCTAGTATATTGTCACATGTATATTGCATTAGTGGTTCTAATTTTTGGTCAGTTTAAGATTCTGAACCTAATTTGATACTGACTCCAGTATAGTTCTAAGTTTCCTATAACCAGTTTGAATGGCAACGTGCTTCATCTTGAGAGTTTTAATTTTGTAATGACTGAAGCTATTTTATTTTCTGTGAAAAAAGATTTTTTTTTTTAAAGATTTCTTCATGATTATTTTGGAACCACACCTAGCTCTCCAAGTAAATATTTGATATTTTATGGTTTAAATCTGTTCTAATTTTTTCCAGCAGATGTCAGTGTTGGTGAACAGAAATCCTAAGAAAAATACTTCAGCTGGTTTTTTTGTTTTAATTTGAGATTCTTTCAGTTAACCTTTGTAAACATTTGATCGCATTTCATTGTTTTGCTCTCCTTGTAGTGTTTATGTATGACACATCTGTTCATTAAATTGAAATACATTCTAATGACTATTTTCTAAGCCATATTCAGTAGTTTTCTATTTTTAAGAATTATGAGGATTAATAAAATACAGCAATAAATATTAAATATGGAAGATAATCTAAAGAATACAGTATTATCTTAATGGTTATTGTTAGTTTATAAGAAAGTATTAAGAGAAAAGTTACCTTAGATCAAATAACTTTTTCTATAAAGGGTGTTAAAAGACAAATTATAACAAATTTAAAGATCTAATTGATTTTTATTTCAAATTCTAGAATTAAGCAACGCCTCATTCTGTAAAATAGATTTGAGTGTTACAAACAGCTAAGCAGAGGAGGTTGGCTTTATAGGCGGCAAAGGGCTGGAGAAAGCAGAAATAGGAAACAAGAAGCAGATTGTTCCTTTCAAAGTTACTTTCCTTACAGGGTTAAAACACAGGTGGCTTTCTTATGCTGGCTCAGGTAAACTAGGCCCATTATGATTGGATGCTGTGAATCTCCTGGGTTTTTTGTTGTTTGTTTGTTTGTTTGTTTGAAAACTAGTCTGTTTCAGAATTCAGTTCGATTAGGCGGTACCTAGCATGAGTGACCCCATTGTGGTTTGGTCTCATCTCCTGCGACCTAGTGCAGGAGGCTAGTTCAAAACAAGGAGCTCCCATAAAATTTGTTTAACAAGGGCCAAATAGTAAATATTTTAGCTTTTATAGGCCCTAGGGTCTCAGCTACCCAGCTCTACCCTTGTGTTAAAGCATCTGTAGACAATATGTAAATGAATTGCCATGGCTGTGTCCAGTAAAACTGTTTATCCAAACAGGCACCGGATCAGATTTGGCCCTTGGGCTGTAGCTTACTAACCTCTGAATTACAATATAGTCTTGATTTGTAAGGCTTGGACTTCTGGAGATCTCAGCTGAAATACCAGAGTTGGTCAGTAAGGTCTTTTCATTCTGGGTGGGTTGGAAATCCATGTGTCCCAGCACTGCGTGACACATGGATTTCTAGGCCTCTTGGAATCTTGCCTCATGAGTGCACAGCTCAGCCCTTAGCTAAGAAACCCTGGTGAATAGTTCTGCAGACTAACTCAGGAGCCCATTTTATGTATCTCCTCCTTTTCCAGTACCTTGCCAGGTGCCTCAGCTGTCTAGAACTCTTGCTTTCTATCTCCTCAGCTCCAGTGACACCATTACTTTGCTTGGGCTCTAGTTCTTTGCCCTGTGACAGGCAAATGTCCACAGACAGAAAGCTAGAGCAGATATAGGGATTACTTCATTTGTTTCCCTTCTCTCAAAGATTATAGTCTTGTCTCACCTGTTGTTCAGGGTCCAAAAATAGTTAACTTGTGTATTTTGATCAGTTTTATAGTTTTACAACAGGATGGTGAGTTCAGTACCTGTTAACTCTGTTATGGCCAGAAGTGGAACTGTGCCCTTGATTTTTTTTTTTTGGAGACGGAGTCTCTCTCGCCCAGGCCGGAGTGCTGTGGCATGATCTCAGCTCACTGCAATCTCTGCCTCCCGGGTTCAAGCAATTCTTCTGCTTCAGCCTCCCGAGTAGCTATGTGCCCTTGTTTTTAAACATTCATGATCTCTTCTTTATTTCAACATTGTAATCTGGTCTTAATATTTGTTACTGTCTTTTCACTACTTAGACTTCTGATAAAGCTAATAAAATATCTTATAAATTAGGATGGTAAGACCAAAATTTTTATATATGCACATGGTAGTAGTAATTGTACACTATACAAAAAACAGAGAAGAGTATATAATGAAAAGCAAGTACCTTGTTTAACTCTGTACATCATTTACCAGGTTATATTATTTTTATGTGTCTTTTCAGAATTATTTCATGACTATGTGAGTAGATAGATGTATACTGAAGGACACACAAACAAGTAAATGTTTTTAAACAACTTTCATTTAAACGAATGAATGTTTCAGATGTTTTCACTAAGAGCATTTTATTTTCCTTTACCTATTTCTTTTTTTTTTTCTTTTTTTTTTGAGATGGAGTCTCGCTCTGTCGCCCAGGCTGGAGTGCAGTGGCGCGATCTCGGCTCACTGCAAGCTCTGCCTCCCGGGTTCACGCCATTCTCCTGCCTCAGCCTCCCGAGTAGCTGGGACTACAGGCGCCCGCCACCACACCCGGCTAATTTTTTGTATTTTTAGTAGAGACGGAGTTTCACCGTGTTAGCCAGTATAGTCTCGATCTCCTGACCTCACCTATTTCTATTAAAATACCTATTTAGTATTTTACCTATTTCTGTTATCACCATAGTAATACAAAATAGCAACCATAGTTGATAGTTTATGACAGATTCAGAAGTTAGTAGTACAGAACTCATTAGAAGTAGTTCGTAAAGAAAGAAAGAATTCAGAAGAAAAAGTACAGAATTTAGTCTTTTTGAAATAAAGTGTTGTGTTAACCATTAATCTTCTGGAATGGTGAAAAGAATCTTACGCCTTTACAGTCTAATTTGCCATTGGTTTTTATTTTTTTATTAATCTTGAGTTCTTTTCTGAAACAAGATAGTCACTTAAAATTTTATTTAAAAATAAAACAATCTCTAGTAATGCTATCTTAAGCATATTATTTGTGACTTCCATTGCAGTTCATCAATGGTGCTAAGGAAATTTGCTATGCTCTTCGAGCTGAGGGTTATTGGGCTGACTTTATTGACCCATCATCTGGTTTGGCAGTGAGTAATTATCATTTGAAAATCAGATTATATGAAGTAGAGATGATTTTTATTATAAAATGTGTTTATAACTTTGGTAATAGATTAAGACTTTTTAAAAATCTCACAATTTTACCCAAAGAAATACTACTGTGAGTCAGTTGAATTCTCAACTTTTGAGAGACCTCTATCACTCACAGTTAAGTTTCTCCATCACTTTAATTTTTTTAATTAAAAATGTTTTTACTTTCTGCTCTCACTAGTAGATATTATATATTTGATTTGCATTGAATTAGTGTGTTTATTTTATATGTTGAAAATTATAAATTGGTACAGTCTAGTTTCTGTAAGGAAGAAATAATTATTCTTAGAATTAATTGAGTAAAATACAGGTGGTAAAAATAAATACTTAGACCAGTAAATTTTTGGAAATTAACATTTATAAGGTTATACTTTGAAGAAATAACTGAACTACCACTGTAGTCACATTTTAAATTCTGGATATATCTTTCTGTAACAAGTAGTAATTAAATCATTTTTTGAATCTTAAGATAGGAATATATACCATTTCTTCTCAAAGTCAAATAAGATATAATCGAGAAATGGAAAACTTTTGCTTGGGCTTTAGTTTCCTTGTCTTGAAAATGATGGTGAACTGTAAATAATTGTCTAGGGTTTATTCCATCTTCAAAGGATGCAATATTATGCATTTGATTCTAGGTAACATGTAATTTGCTAGATCATTTCAGATTTCCAGAATGCATAGGAATTGGAGGAAAGGGATATTAAGGCGGTTTAAGTGTTGCATGTGACTTTTTACTTATTTAGTTTTTTAAATATTTGGAGTATTAAAGTAGATAGGTGTTCATGTTTACCTAAAAATTATTACTAAAATGTCTTTCTTACTAATGAGAATATTTCGTTTTTATTTCCTCAGTTTTTTGGACCATATACAAACAACACTCTTTTTGAAACTGATGAACGCTACCGACATTTAGGATTCTCTGTTGATGACCTTGGATGCTGTAAAGTGATTCGTCATAGTCTCTGGGGTACCCATGTAGTTGTAGGGAGTATCTTCACTAATGCAACACCAGACAGCCATATTATGAAGAAATTAAGTGGAAATTAGCAGAAATATCCATTCATTTGCTGTACTATTTGTATGTAATATTTGGGTTGATCTATAAACACTGTCAGACTAAAGTTTTTAAAATATATTTATTTCTAAGTATTTATTTCAGCATTTATGAATTTACAACATTGGCAAGTGATTTGGGATTTTAAAATTGCAAATGTTCATTTATTCATATCATTGAATACACGTTGAACACATCCACATTGTATAGGATGTGGTAATTAGCTTGTAACCAGGGTATGATCTGCTATTGTTATTTCTCCTCTTTATTGGAAAAAGGCCTCAGTTTTAATTATTTTCTTCCCAAAATAAATCACACATTTGGTTACAATAATGTGTGTTTTCATTACAGTATTTTTTAAATACCATTATTGATTCTTAAGTTTCTATATTAATCTTTTTAAAATTCTTTTTAATGCAATTGAGAATTTTGGATTCATTGTAGACTTTTTCAAATTTTCTTTTATCTTTATTGTCTATTAAGTGTTGGGGTACCAGTCTGAGTATTACTTTGAAATAATTTATGTTCAGGAAAAGAAGAAGAAGGATAATACATCTTTAAACGCATATGAGTCTTGTCCTTATCCCTACTAAAAAGGTAATTCTCTCTTAACTCCTGAGTTGAGACAGACAAATAGAACTATGCCTTAACTGACAAATTTATTTTTCAATTTTAGCAATAGGTGGAAACTGCAGTACTTTACAGAGGTGCCTCATTTGAGACAGAGCTTGTTTTTACAGCATCATAAACTTCATCTTTCATTTTTGAAGCTTTTGCAAATAGGAATAGGCAGATCTAAGGAGTAAATGTAACTTCCACAAAATGAATTGAAATAGATTTTTTTCTGTTTTTTCTTCTTTGCATGAAATGCCTGTTTTGAAAAGGACTACATGGAGATAACTTTTTAATCACACCTTGTTTTAAAACCCCTAGCTTAGTTAACATGTCATTTGATAAGAGGTGTTGCTTACGATCTAGAACTAGAAAGTTTTCATTTATTTTGAAATGATGAAGTGTAGTGATTGCCACAGCATTTAGAAGAACATTTATTGAAGTGTATATATATATATATATATGCACATCATATGTGCTCAATAAATTTTTATGTGTGTAACCAGCACCCAGATCAAAACACAGAATACTCAAACACACTCATCCTGCTCCCTTCTAGGTACTACATGCTCCCCAGCCCTTGCCCTTTCCGTGAGTAACCACTGTCCAGGTTTCCTTGTACAGTATAGGTTGGTTTTGCCTGTTTTGACGCTTTATATATACGTAGACACACATACACATGTATATATACACACACACATTTTACATATATATATGAAACTGTATAATGTGTTCGCTTCAGTGTCTGGCTGCTTTTACTCAACATTGTGAAATTAATTCCTGTTATCGTATATGGTATCAAATTTGTTTGCCTAGTTTTTGCCTTCTCATTGCTTCTGAATTGGGGCAGCTTTGCCCCTCAAGGGAAATTTAGCAATGTCTGGAGACATTTTTTATTTTCATAATTTGGAGGGACATGGGGGAGTTGTGCTACAGAACTTAGTAGGTAGAGGACAGGGTTAGTGCTGAACGTCCCACAGTACAGAGGACAGCGTTACACAATACAGAATTTGGTCAAGTACCTTGCACCACTCTCATTATTTCTAATGTGTATTTTGCTTATTCAGCCATTTCCTACCTTGCACCATTCTTTAAGGCAAGTTCCCTTGAAATTTCAACATTTGCTTTAACAATTAGGAAGTGTCACTTACTGATCGAAAATGATACTTATTCCCTATAGGTGACTAAGTCTGTGCATTCTGTTGTACTGAGATAGGGTACATGGTGACGAGACTCTTTATCAACTTGCTTTTTAACAGGATTTCCAGAAACAAATATGATCAGCAGTAACTGTTAATTAAAAACTTTTTTTTCTGAAGTATTATGGCAAGATTCAGGTTTTAGAAATATAACTCAAGGAACTCTTACTGAATGATAATAATATAAAGTGGTTGACTATTATGTACCACAGAAAAAAACACCTCAGGTAACTGTTCACTTGATCAGGACCTTGTGGACAAGAAAGGATTTGTAAAATTATATATCTTAAACATAAATTTGCTACCTTTTAAAAAAATAAGACTGAGCCATTGAAATTACTATTAGATCTGTCACTGAATAAAAGTTTATTTGTTAAAGTTATGTTTTCACAAGAACTTAGGAATTTTTGTTCTTGGATGCTGGTTACATAGATGAAAATTTATCAAGCACATAGAAATTAAATGCTGAAAGAGATCTTTCAGATCATGTCATCCACATTCCTCATTTTATGGTAGACAAAATGGGAAACAGGAGCATTTGCATCAGGTCACACAGCTAGTGTTAAGACCCAGCACTGGGACTTGGCCAAGAGTCCATTAGTTATATATATTTCTTTTCTATATTCACTTCATGGTCATAATCAAGAAGTCTATTAAGTGTCTGATTAAAAATATCAAAGAGTTGCAGAATTTAAAGTGAAAGAACTTTTGGGTTAACTGATAATGCTGCCACTTCATAAACTTAGGAATTCATTACATTGAACGCTATGTGCTTTTAGTTTCTTTGAAAATTTACTGAAACATGTATCTAAAAATTCAATTATAGAATGCTAGACTTCAAACAATAGTTCTCTAGCTTCAAGTTTAAAACCTTCATGTCTTTCTTGGGCTTCTGTTACTTGTAATATCAACCTAGTCCTTACATTTGAACAAAACTCTCTTTTTAGTTCCAACTCTATATTCTCCTTGTGACTGTTGTCACAAGGAGGGTTTATCCACTTCTGCACTATTGACGTCTTGAACCAGTCTTTGTTGTGTGGGCTCTCCTAGACATTGTAGGAAGTTTAGCAGCATTCCCTAGTTTCTGCTTATTAGATACCAACAGCAAGCCATGGTTATGACAAAAATGTCTTCCGTTATTGCTATATTTCTCCTATGGGACAAAATACTTATCAGAAGTCAAATTTAACCAGGTGTTCTGAATTTTATCTGACAACTTTATCACTGGGGTTGAGAACCACTGATTCAAAGTCCTCAACTTTAACTGTACATTTAGATCCCCTGAGGGCATTTAGTACTGATGAGTTGGCCTCACACCCACATATTGATATCATTAGTCTGATGAGGTTTGGACCTAAGTACTTTTTAAGGGTTTCCCAGGTGTTTCAGTGTGCATTCAGGGTTAGAACCTCTGGTCGGTCCTAAAACTCAGTAATAGTTGGTGGATTAGAGGCATCTAAGGAAATAAGAGTAAGATTTGCTAATCTATTTAATGTATTAAGGAGCTATAGAAAAGAATGAAGGCTCTAATATTTTGCATTAAGAGAGACCTAATCAGGCCTAAATCAATTCAAGGATTTGAGTCACACTTCCTCTATGAAACCTTTCCTGGCTCTTCATCCCTCACTGGTCTTTTCCTTAATTTATATAGTACTTGGTCTCCACCACACGATTTTGTACACAGTTCCTTTATATTTTTTTGTCTTAAATCTTGCCTCCCATACTTGGAAAGTAAGGACCCAATTTCCTACTAACTTAAACACACCATTGAATATGCAGTAATAACTTTCCTGTTATCCTCTCATTCCTAACCAGGATATTTTAAAGTTTTTCATAGGGTTTTCATTGCCCTCTTAGAATACATGTAAACTGTAACTTAATTATGTAGACTTAAGGCTTTGAGCATTTTTTGTTTTTTGAGACTTTGAGCATTTGTCTTCCATTCATTACTGGAAATTATAATCAGTTAAAACCATGTCACTACTATAAAAAGCACATAAGTGGTCACTTGATTGATCACAGAGGTGACACTGCAGTGCAGTGAGAAAAGAAGGATCTTTTCAGTATATATTGCTGGGTCAATTGGATATTCATATAGAAAAATGTATTTTTACTTTTACATGACACATACATCAAAATTCTAAATTGATTCCAAGTCTAAATTTGAAAGGTTAAAGCTTCTAGGGGGAAAAAAAATCTTTGTGCTTTGGAGTAGACAAAGATTTGTTTTTAAGAGAATACAACATAATCATATAAAGGGAAAAATGATTAATTGGATCATGTTAAAAGTAAGAACCCTTGGCCAGGCGCCATGGCTCACACCTGTAATGCCAGCACTTTGGGAGGCCGAGGCTGGCGGATCACCTGAGGTTGGGAATTCAAGACCAGCCTGACCAACATGGAGAAACCCCGTCTCTACTAAAAATAGAAAAAATTAGCCGGGCGTGGTGGTGCTGTAATCCCAGCTACCCAGGAGACAGGAGAATCGCTTGAACCTGGGAGGCGGAGGTTGCGGTGAGCTGAGATCATGCCATTGCACTCCAGCCTGGGCAATGATAGCGAAACTGTCTCAAAAAACAAAAACAAAAAACAACTAAGAACTCTTAATTCATCAAAAGACATCATGAAGGAGAAGGCAGCTAGCAGAGTTAAAGATAAATACATACTCAACAATCTGGCAATATACATATCCAATAAACAGCTTGTATTCAAAATATATAAAGACTCCTAAAATCAGTAAACAAATAACCACCAGAAAAATAAACATTTACAAAGAAAGATACTCAAATGGTCGGTAAACACGGTAAGGTGCCATACTTCATTAATCATCAGAAATGTAAATTAAACCTACAATGCGATACCACTACTACATCTCTACCAGAATGAAAAATGAAAAAATAAATACACCAAGTTATAGATGTAGAACAACCTAAAATTCTGTTGATGGGAATGTAAAGTGGTATAAATACTTTGGAAAACTGACAGTTCTAAGGCTCAATGTGCCCTAGGACCTGGCACTTTCACTCTGAGGTATAGACCAACCGGAAATGCATATATGTGTGTGTGTGTGTGTTTATGTATGTATATATTCACCAAAAGATGTTTACTCATGTAAAAGTCTATACCGGTGCTAAATAACCAAAAGTAAGAAACTACTCAAATGCACACTAGAATTATTTTTGTCAATTCAGTTGTGTCACATTCACGTAATGGGATACTATATAATAATGAGAATAAATGCTTTATAACTAGCAACAAAATGGATGAAAGTAATAAACAATATACCAAAGAAGCCAGACGCAGTAGTACATCCTATGTAATTCTATTAATATGAAATACAAAAACACAACTATGCTGCTACAAGTCAGGATAGTGCTTACCCTTGGGAAAGGAAGAATTGACTGGAAGAAAGGACAAAAAGGATTCTGGAATGTTGGTAATGTTTTGTGTTCTGTTATGTTTTTCTGAATTTGAGTATTGACCACATGATGAATTCAGTTGTACAAACTTAGGTGCACTTTTTTGTATGTGTAGTATACTCCAATAAAGTTTTTAAAAATACAATCAAATCCACTCTTAAAATAGTGGGAGAACCTATTCAAAAATAAATGATGCCAGCAAAGGGCCCTTAAACTGAGTCCAGTTTTTAAAAAGGAACTAAAATTTATAGGTAAAGGAAATTTTGAAGCAAAATTATTTTCTTTTTAAACGTTTAGCTAGAGTTTTAATTATACATTAATGCTTACATTATATAAAACAAGTTTTCAAAGCATTTTATTTTTCTTACTGTTATTAGACATGGTTTACATTATTTATAGCATGATCATTTTTGCCAAGAGCTTTTAAGAGTTTTCCCAGAACCTCTTAATCCTTGGATAGTTAAATCATGCTTAGGGTTTCTAACATTGAGTCATCCATGTAGATTTCCTCTCAATCAATCTAACAGTTCTTTCACTGTTTCAGTTATTTCATGAAATGTTGCATTTTGGGCACAGTGTATTTATATGAAATGGCATAGTCACTAACTTTGTTTCCTTTAAATGAAAATAGACTAAACAGGTAGGGTTGCAATGCTATAATCTGCTTTGATCTCGTTCTATATAAAAATAGAGTCTCTAATTGCTTTAATTTTATGTAGATAGGATTATATTTAAGTTACAACTTCTTACATCTCCTAGTATAAAGATTTTGTGTCATTAAATTGCCACTCTATTTAAAATGAGTGGCAATTCAGTAGTACAAAAATAGGTATTAAACTTTTTAAACACTGGTTTGTACTCATAGCTTATGTTGTAGCTGTATATGCCATTTTGCTACAAATTTAATTTTTAGTAGTTTTTAAATAGTTTAAAGTCATCCTTGTCACAGACTTCACGAACAAGTGCCTGCCAGGAAGTCCAGTTTTGTTACAGGAAGAATGGTTGAGCACAGTTCCTGTCACATAGATGTTCAGTAATAGATGTGAATTAGATGCTGATCAACTTAATGATGATTCAGAAGAGTAAATCTAGATTTGTTGAGGTCAAACTGGAGCTTTGTCATGTATCCGCTTTAATCCAAAAACCTGGTGTAGAGATCTTTAATTGAAGTCATGCACCATATAACAACGTTTCTGTCAAGGTTGGACCACAAATATGATAGTAGTCCTATTTTTACTGTACTTTTCTATGTTTAGATACACAAAAACATTGTGTTACAGTTGCCTACAGTATTCAGTACAGTAACATGCTGTACAGGTTTTTAGCCTAGGAGCAATAGCCTATACTATTAGAACCCAGGTGTATAGTAGGTTATACAATCCAGGTTTTGTACACTCTTGATATTCACACAATGATGAAGTCTCCTAACTACCCATTTCTCAGAACATATCCCCGTAGTTAAGATATGCATGACCATAGTTTCAGACTAGTTTAACCTGTTTTACAATTGTAGCACTATTTTATCAGCACAATTGTGATAGTATATTTAATGAAATACACTGCCTGTCTCCCAAATATTGAATAGTACATATACTAAAAAAAAATTTGTATCTGAAATTCAAATTTATCTTAGTGTCTTCCTTTTTATATTTGCTGAATCTGGTGACTGTGTGAATGACAACATTGCTATCAAATGACAGTTATTTTTAATGGTAAAATTGTAGAGGGACTCAAAATTAAAAAAAATACTAAAGCCAAAAAGAGTACAAGCTTTGAGCACCCTAGAAAAGCAGCACTTCCCGGGTTAAATAGTGCCTCCATGGCTCATCAGTTTATAATTTCAGGTTGTTGCCTTTGAAGGTTCATGGTTACTGTTCATTAATTGCTATTTTATCTCTCCTGTTTGTTTTAAATTTGTGACTAAGATCTTCGACATTGAAATCAACAACAATTTTATAAGAATTTTATTTTTCACATCCCTTTTTGATTGCAGAAGGACATGAGGTCTATTCCTTGTTTGCTTACAGTGAATGTGACTTCATTTACCCTTGTTTAAAGTTATTTTAAATAATATGAACTCAATTTTCAGTGTCACACAATGTTGTCAGTTGCTGGATTTGTGCCCATTCAAACTGAGTTAAGTCACCAGTGGTCACAGAGGAGACTTTCTTCTGGTACTAAGTAAACAAGCTGAGAAAGAGAAAGGGAAACTATGTTTATGGCCGTGTAACTAAGTTACAGTAATAAGATTTGTCCTGTACGAAGCCTGGATGAGTTAAAATACCTTCTGAGTCAAGTGGTCACTCATGGGAAATAACTCTCCTGGGACACTGGAGCATGAATTAGTGATCTGAAGAGGCAATTAATCTCAAATGAATGAGCACTTGGCTTCTAGATTGCTCTCTATTTATGTTACAGTTTTTTTAGAATAAATGTAGGTTAACCTACAGTGTAGTTTTATGTAGATTAGCCAAAAGTCCATGTTAATTCAAGACAGTGTCTCTAAGAAGCAAAAAATATTTTAGCATATTGAAAAAAAAAACCTGCAAGTTGGTCATGGAATCTAAAATAGAGATACAACTAATATTCCTCTCAACAAATTAGGAGAGTCACAATAAAGCAAAAAAGAAGCAGTTTATTCTTTAGGGCTACCAGAACTCGTGGCCTGCTTCTTAAATTAATTCTGGCTTTCATTTTAAAGTGACATTTATTTTCATGGGCAAGTTAAAGACTCTGTAGAAGCCTACTATGAGAACCCCTTTTCTGATACTGTATTATGAAGGATAACTGAAAATCACTGAGATTAACTAATTCCATAAGTTGTATGAAAAAACTATTACAGTCATTTCCAATACTAGATCCCCAGTGTTGTAGGTACTGTTTAGTCCCAACCAGCAGAAAGAGCTATTGTAAGTCCAGGATTGCCTTTAGCTATTAGCTTTTCCAGTATGCCCCTCCATTTCAGAGTGAAAAATAACCTAATGCTACAATGAGTGTCCTTTTCATGAGCATATATATGTATTTCTTATTCATACATACACACACACACCCCCCTTGTGGACAAACCTTCTAACAACAAAATAGCTATATATTTGAGATATGTTATCTAATTTAAAATATTGCATTAAAATTTATTCACAAATGTGACTGTCTCAAATGGATAAGAACCTCTAATTTTGCACTTAGGATTTTGCCAACTTTATTGAACATCCTCTATATTTAAAAAGATAGGCTGCAGTGATACATTTGGCCAATAGGTGGCACCATTTAATTACCTTGAAATTCCTCAAATTTGAGGCTTGTAGTTTGGCCAAGAAAAAAAAAATTACCTTATCAATTCTGCATGTTTGAAATGTAAACCATTTAGAAAGAAAAGTTCCTGTACATTGATAATTACTTCATTGTTTTGACTTTTTAGAAACTAGCATTTTTTTCTAGTGCTATTTCCTAGATGCCATTACTTGAGCTATGAAATAGAAAATGAATGCCTGATGCAGGGTCATGTTGTTCAATCATTATACATGTAATTTTTATCATTTTTAAAATTGTGAGTTTCTAGAAAAGTATCAATCTGTGTCACAATACAATCTAGTGTCTTGAATCAGAAGAAAGATAAGGGAGCACTCCTAGGCACTTAGGGAAATAAGGCAAGAGGCAGCAAAAAGACCTGGTGTGAGATGGTCAAATTCTTTCTCACCAGCACGCAGTCAAGAAATCCTGGAATTGGGAGTACTGTGTTTAGTCAAAAGATCCGACATGATCTGAGATTTAAAATTAATTTTTAGTTGTTAAGCAATTATTTAGTGCCTCCATTCCTGCCAAAAAAAAAAAAAAAGCGGGGGGGGAGTGTGGCTCTGACATGAAAGCAAAAAATTAGTAAGGGTAAACTATTGAACTTTAGAAGTGTAGTAATGTATTATGGTGTTACAGAGTCATTAAAAACATACTATGTGAAATGCAGAGAAACTGCATGAAAAAATGAACCAATTCAATTTTGTCATGTTACTATGCAGTATTTAGAACAGACCATGGCAAAATCCAAAGTGTCTTGTGAATAGTAAAAGAAAACTCAAGATTTATAATTATTTTAATATTAAGAAATTATATTCTAATTATTTGAAAAGTTATGTGGGAATAGACACATTGAACTTCAAGGTCAAAGTAAGTAAGTAACATAACTTCACACAAATAATAGCCTTGTAGACAAGAAAAATAAAAGAGTATAAAAATATTGATTTGGGAGGTCTTAAAAATTGTCTAGTCCTGCCCTTTATTTCTTGGATGAGAAAACTCAAGCCTTGAAAAGTTTAATGATTTGCCCAAGGTTAGAATTGGCAAATCTAGAATACAGCTTTTCTGGGTCTTAGTCCATGAACTACTTCTTGTCTAATTGGCAATTTCTGATAATTCAGGTAAGTGACTTTAACATTTTATTTTTTATGAAAAAAATTTTTAATTACAGTATAGACTTTTATAATTCCATCAATTTGCATTACATGGTAATGTATTTGCAATGCAGTCTTAATTAGGAAGCTTCTCCACTCTGAAAAGGGAAACTCATTGTACTCTTTATTTGAGCAGCTCTGCTCCATTTATTGTATCGGTGATTATATAAATGGCAAGAAGTTCTGGCTAGTGGTAGTGCCAGGACTAATAAAGAAAGGTCTTTTGATATGATAAAATACTATATTTGCTCATTAATATTTAGGTTTCATAGTTATACACTTACGGGTATAAGAAAGCACCTTTATTATTGAAATTTCTTCAGAAACAATAATGGTATGCATTTAAAATTCCTGTTTGGTCTATTAATTTTTTTTTATCATGCAAGATTTCCTAGGAATGCATCTGTCACATAGCAGCATAGATACTTGAGATGATGGGGCTATTAATTTGATCTTGAACAATTATGTCAGGCATTCTGTTGTACACAATGCCTTCTACTTATTAAAATAGATTACAGCAAGCCCTTTGCTACTTCTATCATTGCCTGCCATCGCTGTATGGTTTTAATGTACCTGTCCCTCCAAAATTCATAGGTGGGAACTCAAACACCAAGTTGGTAATATTAAGAGGTGGAGCCTTTGGGAGAGTGATTAAGTTATGAGGACTCTGCCTTGTGAATGGGATTAATGCCCTTTTCAGAGAGCGCCTTGACCCTTCTACCCTTCCCTCCCTTTGCCATGTGAGGACACTGTTCATCCCTGCAGACGGTGCAGCAACAAAGCACCATCTTGGAAGCAGAGAAAGAGCCCTTACCACACACCCCATCTGCCAGCACCCTGAACAGTGAGAAATTTCTATTACAGTTCAAGAGGGGGATTAGGGGTGCCGACCACCCCAACCCCAGGCTGAGTCAAAAATCCACATATAACTTTTGACTCCCCAGAAACTGAACTACTGACAGCCTACTGTTGACTGGAAGCCTTGTTGGCAACATGAGTAGTTAACATATTTTGTATGTTAAATGTATTACATTCTGAATTTTTTTTTTCCTTGGGCTGGAGTGCAGTGGCGCGATCTCAGCTCACTGCAAGCTCCGCCTCCTGGGTTCACGCCATTCTCCTGCCTCAGCCTCCTGGGTTCACGCCATTCTCCTGCCTCAGCCTCCTGAGGAGCTCGGACTACAGGCACTTGCCACCACGCCCGGCTACTTTTTGTATTTTTAGTAGAGACGGGGTTTCACCATGTTAGCCAGGATAGTCTCGATCTCCTGACCTCGTGATCCGCCGCCTAGGCCTCCCAAAGTGCTGGGAAATAAACTAGAGAAAAGAAAATGTTAAAAAAAAAATCATGAAGAAGAGAAAATATATTTACTCTTTATTAAGTGGAAGGGGCTCCTCATGAAGGTCTTCATCCTCATTGTCTTCATGTTGAGAAGGCTGAGGAGGAGGAGGTAGAGGAGGGATTGTTCTTGCTGTCTCAGGGGTGGCAGAGGCAGAAGGAAATCTGAATATGAGTGGACCCGGGCAGTTCAAACCCAAATTGTTCAAGTTTACCTCTAACTATAAATTACCCAGTTTGTGGTATTCTGTCAAACCAGCCCAAACGGACTAACACGGTATAAAAATAATTAAATCATTTAAAATTTTATGATTCACAGAGGTTTTCTCAAACTCTACACCTTTCCTTTGCTTTTTACTTAATCATATCCAATATACGTCCACTCTGAATTAGTAAAGTTTGACGTTTGATGCTGACATACTTCATGTCTGCTCCAAGTCGTAGAGCTTATGGCATGTCTAGAGACTCTTGGAGGAGAGGAAATCTCAGCTGGCCCTTGAAAGGCAGGCGGGATTTGAATAGTGAGCAGAGGATATTCCAGGAGCTAAAACATGAGACTAACACAAGAGAGTGGACTGGTTTACCTAGAGTTTCCTTGACTGCAAGGACTTGGGAAATGAGGCTAGAAAGACACCTTGGGGCTAGATTGAAGGAATTTTTAGTTCCAGAATAAGGAATTCACCGATATGCTATAGCATTAAACATTGAAGGTTTTCAAGCAGAAGAATAATTCGATTAAATCAACTTTTGGAAAGATAGATCTCCTGGTGGTATAGGATATAAACTGTAGGCAAAAAGTAACTGGCAACAAAAAGACTACTGTTGTAATGGGGTAACTCAAAGGTAATAGAGGCCTAAATTAGGGTGGTGGCCGTAAGAATGAAATAAATATTCCAAAGTAGAAATTAAAGCAGGAACTGACTGCTCCCTAGGTCTTGCTGTCCAATCCCACTTCCAGCAATCCAAACAAAAGACTGCAGTTTTCAACATGGATGACTAAAAGAATAATAATAATAATAGCACTGGTAATAATAGTAACAAGCCAACATTTTCATCGTGCTTACTGTGCCCAGCACTTAGCTAAGTGCTTTATACATAATGCATATAATCTTCATAACAACCCCATGAAATAAGTATTATTATTCCCATTTCATGGATCAGAAACCTGAAGCAGAGAGAGGCCAGGTGATGAGTTTAAAGTCGCATGGATATTGAATGGCAGAGCCAGGACTGGAACACAAGCAATTGGGCCTTGGACCCTAATGCCTAGCCTGGTGGTCTCACTACCAAGTACTAGTTTGCAGCATATAGCCCTCTTACATTTATGTGGTAAAGTTAAAATGGTGGTGAATATCTGCATATACTTAGAGTTGGGAACCTAGAATTCAGAGAGTAGTCAGGATAGAGGATGTAAAGTTGAATGACAAGCATACCTCACTCAACTTGAATATTTGAAACTCCATTATTGCATTTGATGATAGAATTTAACCCACCGATCTTCCACAGCTCAGGAGAGAGGGTGTGGTAGGGGTGGGATCAAAACAATAAAGATTTTCAGACCCATTGGAAAGAGTTTTGACAGGCTTTGTCATCATACCTCTCAGCAGTTATGCTCTGCTTATCTTTTGTTCTCTGATGTATGCTAATAATTTGCTACGTGATCATGTACTATTTTAATTTCCATTTGGTTCTAGGAAATCAAGTCGCTTATAATATTTTCATGCTCATTCTTATGTTCCAACCTTTAACAACTGTTTTAGGATTCTGAAATTTCTCAACATTACAACATGCATGAAATATCATGACTAGTTCAGTTATCCAGATACTCATCCAAAATCAAAGGACTGTACAGCATCGTGGTTAAGAGACTGGGGTTTGGAAAAAAACTCCTGAGTCTGGATCTCAGTTGTGCTATTTACAAGTTTTCTGACCTTGGGCAAGTTCCACTTCTGTTAATACCCATCTCATGAGAAGATTTAAGGTTTAGGAGGGATGACATATGCAAGCCATTTCTTACTATTCCTGTGGAAGAGGTCAGTAAATTTTAGCTGTTCTTATTATCTGACCTCTGAATGTGTACAAATTTTGTGGACAACTAAACAGTAAAAATTACCCCCAAATATATTTTCCTAAAATTATAATACAAACATCTTCAAGAGGACATGTATTTGGCAGAACACTTTAGTATTTAATCTCACCACAACTTTGGAAAAGTAATACCATCACAAACAATTCATCACATCCAAAACAAATAAATGGAGCACTCCTACTAGCTGTACATACACAGATAGTGTGTTAAGTAATCACAGAATTCACTGCTTTAGACTTAATCAGCCATTACATGCCCAGAGATGTTTTTTTTTGGAAAGTTTTTATTGGCATTTGAAATGGTTTCCTGTTGGCGAAGTGTGCAGTACCTCAAAACTCAACATGCAAACACTGTATCCAACAGAATTCCACCTCAATAGTTTAAAAACTTATATACATACACTGTGAGAGAACACAGGTCTTCAAAATATCAGTATTTGTAGTGACAGATACTGTGTGTTTAAAAAGCCAAGTTTTTAAAAGTCCTACATTAGTGCAAAATAGTTCCCTCCATAGAGATTTTGCTAGGTCTTCGCAAAAGTCAAACTGTTCACATCTATTGTCATGATTCCATTTACGGTCAGTAGGAGATTGGAAATTAACCATTTTTTCACATGCATTTACTGTTAAAATTTACAGAAGTACTGTATCTCATTTAATAGTCATAAAAACAGTATGGGATAAGTGATAGTATCTCCAGTTCCTGAGGAGGAAATCGAAACTCAGAAAAAAATAAGTAAATTATTTAAGCTCACAACATTTCTAAGTAATGGACTAGGAATCCAAACTCAAGTCTTTTTCATATGAAAGTTCCAATCTTTCATGCCCTACTGCTTCATGAAAATCACTGGTCAAGCTTCTCACTTTTGGAAATGGCTTTTGGATATTTTATTGAAGGGTGGGCCTGTTGATTATAAGGAAGTGATTGGAACATGATTTAAAGTGATTTTGATAAATGATTTTTTTAGGTATCCCACAGTCATAAATGAAAAGGCTTGATAATACAAGTCTTTATATGGCAGGTGGCTCAGAGTATGTTCTCCTACGTTTGAAAACTAAAAGTTCAAGAAGCCTTTGAATTCTGGATTTAGAAAAAGTGCACTAGTATATTTTTAGGCTAATAAAATTTAGACGAAATTAAAAATTTTAGTATTGCAATCCCCAGCATGATTCCTGAATAAAGTGGCTATTAACACCTGCTTATATGGTTTGGTGAAGCTCAAGAATATTGTAAATACTTTAACTTGAATTCTACTATTTATAAAGTGATTGTACGAATGAATTAGAAAGAAACATCCCAAAAGAAGTCTTAATGGGTATAATGGCTATGGTTGCCCTCAATAAAAAAGGTTACAAACATGTATGTGCATATGTCCAAACATACACAGATATGCACAGGTTTTTTTTAATTTTTGTTATTTTATCATATTATATTATTACAAATTATTTAATATTATTCTGGCACTTAAGAAATACTATGAGTTTTTTAACTGTTATAATTCTGTTTCTTTATTACATCTTAGTTATTATTCAAACTAGAAATATAAAATTTGGAAGCAGCAACTCTTGTTTACATTAGCTATTCTTTGCTACATTGAAAAAATATCTTTCAGGGGCCCTTAGCCTTTTTTATGCCATGGGCCCCTTTTCAGAATTATGTTTTTAAATGCATAAAATATATATAGTTACTAAAAACTCAATTATTTTGAAACACATTTGTCAAAACATTTTTAAAGTTTGTGACATATATACTTTTTATTAATGCATTAAATTACAAAATTGAACAGCAGTCTAATGCTGCTATAATTTTGAATTAGTGACAAGGAGAAATGACCTTATGAGATATCTGCAACAGCTGTAATATGATGGGGAAAAATCTGTGTTTTCTATTGGTGACAAGTCACAAGAACTGCCAATAACACTTGATTTGTTGCCTGTGTTCATAATGGAAAGGAATGCCAAAATAAAAATGTAATTTTCTTTCCAACCAAATTTTATTCTGTTCATGGACCCCCTGGAAGTCCATGGACCTCTTGTTAAGAAAGTAACTGTTTTCCACAAGTTTGTATCAGCAATGATTATTTACTATTATTGCATACTTTGGGGCTCCTATTATAATAATCCCTGTCATATTTAAGGTAGACTACACAGCTATATTGGCTTACACTGATATATATTTTGGCGTCCAACAGAATGGAAGTCTTACTTCTTAGTCATATTACAGAAAGGCAGGTGGCTCTCCTCCAGAAGGTAATTCGGGGACCCAGACTCCTTCCACCTTGTATCCGTATTAACTCCTAAGTCCTTATTGTTGTCTACATTCGACTGATAGGAGCAGAAAGAGTGTGAGGAAAAAAAAGTGGTGGTGGTGATGTAAGCCATTTCTGGGCCAAGCCAACTTAAAAGCCAAGACAAAATTTGGGTAGAAAATTAGCTTTTGCTCCTAGAATCATTTTCTTTTAAGGTTCTTATAAGATAGATTTGAGAGAGTGTTTTTCTCATATCATCCCTCACGTTCCTGAGATAAACCTTACTTGGTTTTGGTGGACTGGCTGCTTTTCTAAATTGTTGACCTGGGAAGAACAAATAAAAAACTCAGCAGCCTTTGCACTGTGAATGGGAGCAGCTAAACTGCAAGCATAGAAGCTGTGTAAAGTGTCCTTCTCTTTGACTCCTCAAAAGGTGATCTATCAGTTGCTGCTTCCTATTATTTAACATCCTAAATACCACTTTCATCAGGACTGCCCCTGCCACTGCCTTACTTCAGATGCTCATAAATTCTCTCCAGTACTACTTCTGTAATAGCCTACGGATGGAATGTTTTGTCTTCAGTTTTGTCCTCCCTCCCAAGGTCATTTTTCTACCACTATTCTCCAAACTTTTAAAACTTCACACCCCTGTGAGTGAAAACATTGAGCACACACCTCCATACCTGCACATTGATTTCTTTATAAGTATGCACATTTTTTTGCTATTATATATATATAATAAGATGTTTATACACATTAAAAATGTTTAAATGGACAGATTAAAAGATAAACGTAAATAGAAGTTCTAAGATGATCTTCCCCATTCAATGAATTATTTGACACATACATGTATCATCCTGTGTACTGTCAAGATAAAGGATGCTACAAGCATTGGAGGAGTCATTGAAGAATTACAGCTTACCTGAGAAGCTAGGAAGCACAGGTGGGTCTAGAAGGGGAGAGTCAGGACTAGAGAAACACAGCTTCAGCTTGAAGTAGAAATGCTGAGTTGGAGTTTGCAGGTAAGTCTCAGAAGCAGTAGAACTGACCACAAATAAGGACAGTGAAGTGGGAGCTCCTACAGAATTCTCAGAAAACTGCTGTGCGGGACCATCCCTGGGCACCCCAGGACCTTCTGCATATGATGCTTTTTGCTTCACCTCTACCTTCTAAATTTCCCCAAGTTCCTCTCCTCAGAAAACTCTAAAACATTACTCTACTAAGAAGGCAATTCCAAGAAATGTATTTCCCAGCCTCAGAAGATACTGGAGCTGATGGTGCCAGTTGACAACAACCCATTCAATCCAATATACTTTGGGGAACAGCCACTTCAGATTGGAGACTAATACTCTATTCTGGAATTCAGAGTAGTTTCCTCAAATTGCACCTGATTTTGTCTTTTTCAAAATCTTACAGCTTCCTTTTTCTTCCAGTGGTTTATAATCATTTTGGCCCTGAAAACTTTTGTTTACATACTTACGTAAGAGCATAAGCAAATAAAAATTCTTATATTAAGCATTGGTTGAGCAATGGGAGAGTGTCTGAAGCCTCTTCTATTTCTCCACAACCTGCACTGTTCCCCATAACACTACACACTGCTCCCTTAATAAGGGAACTTCCAGAACACCATGGAATGTGTCTAGAAATCACCGCCCTACAAAGCTCATGAACAGGCACTTCTCAAAAGGAGACATTCACACAACCAATAAAAAGATGAAAAAATGCTAATCATCACTAATCATTAAAGAAATGCAAATCAAAAGCACCATGAGATACTATGTCACACCAATCAGAATGGCTATTATTAAAAAGTTGAAAAATAACAGACGCTGGCAAGGTTGCAGAGAAAAGGGAACATTTATATATTGCTGGTAGGAATATAAATTAGCTTGGCCACTGTGGAAAGCAGTATGGAGATTTCCCAAAGAATGGAACACAGAACTACCATTCAACCCAGCAATCCCTCTATTGGATATATACTCAGAGGAAAATAGATCATGCTACCCAAAAGACACATGTACTCCTATGTTCACTTCAGTGCTATTCATAATAGTAAAAATATGAAATCAACCAAGATGCCCATCAATGCCCACCGATGGACTCGATAAAGAAAATGTGGTACACATACACCATAGAATCCTACTCAGCCATAAAAAAGAATGAAATCATGTCCTTTGCGCAACATGGATGCAGCTGGAGGCCATTATCCTAAGTGAACTAATGCAGGAAAAGAAAACTAAATACCACATGTTCTCACTTATAAGTAGGAGCTGAATATTAAATACACATGGACACAAAGATGGGAACAATAGAGGTGGGAGGGGAGAAAGGGGGATGGCTTGGAAGTCTGCCTGCCTACCGGGCACTATGCTCACTACCTTGGTGACAGGGTTAAGCCTCAGCGACACTATTTATTCATGTAACAAACCTGCACTTGTAACTCCCGGACCTACAATAAGAGCTGAAAAAAAAAAAAAAAAAAAAGAAAGCATGCAAATGAATAGCCAACAGTTACATGAAAAAAAAATGCTCAATATCACTAGTCACTGGGTAAATGCAAATGAAAACCACAATGGGATATCACTTCTCACCTGTTAGAACAGCATTTGTTAAAAAAAAAAAAAATGAAAGATAATAAGTGTTGGCAAGAATGTGGACAAAAGGGAGCCATTACACACTGTTGATGGAAATGTGAATTACTACAGCCATTGCAGAAAACAATATGGAATTTTCTCTAAAAATTAAAAGCAGAACTACCATAGGACCCAGCAATTCCACTTCTCAGTATGTAGTCAAAAGAATTGGAATCAATATGTTGAAGAGATATCTGTACCTCTATGTTCATTTCAGCATTATTTACAATGTACGAGATACAGAATTAACGTAAGTGTCCACCAACAAATAAACGAATACATATACATATTTGTTTTTTGCATATATATATATGTATATATATACATATGCAAAGGAATACTATTCAGCCTTAAAAATAAGGAAATTCTGTCATTTGCAAAAACATGGATAAACCTGGGGAACATTATTTTAAGTAAAATAAGTCCGACACAGAAAGATAAATACTACATAATCTCATTTATAAGTGGAGTCTAAAAAAGGTCAAACTTATAACGTACAGTAGAATGGTGATTCCCAGAGGCTACGGAAAGGGAATGGTTGAGGAGATGTTGGTCAAGGAATACAAAATTTCAGTTAGACAGTAGGAATAAGTTTAAGATATCAATTGTATATTAGGGTAGGTATAATTAATAAAATATATTATATTCTTGAAAATTACTAAAACAGTAAACTTTAAATGTTCTCATTACAAATAAAACTATGTGAGGTAATACATATGATAATTCACTTTATCCATTCCACAATGAAAACATCTATTAAAGGGCAGCCAAGATGGCCGAATAGGAAGAGCTCCGGTCTACAGATCCCAGCGTGAGTGATGCAGAAGACGGGTGATTTCTGCATTTCCATCTGAGGTACTGGGTTCATCTCACTAGGGAGTGCCAGACAGTGGGCACAGGACAGTGAGTGCAGCGCACCATGCGCAAGCCGAAGCAGGGCGAGGCATTACCTCACTCGGGAAGCAAAAGGGGTCAGGGAGTTCCCTTTCCTAGTCAAAGAAAGGGGTGACAGACGGCACCTGGAAAATCGGGTCACTCCCACCCTAATACTGTGCTTTTCCGATGGGCTTAAACAATGGCGCACCAGGAGATTATATCCCGCACATGGCCCAAAGGGTCCTACGCCCACGGAGTCTCCCTGATTGCTAGCACAGCAGTCTGAGATCAAACTGCAAGGTGGCAGCCAGGCTGGGGGAGGGGCGCCCACCATTGCCCAGGCTTGCTTAGGTAAACAAAGCAGCCGGGAAGCTCGAACTGGGTGGAGCCCACCACAGCTCAAGGAGGCCTGCCTGCCTCTGTAGGCTCCACCTCTGGGGGCAGGGCACAGACAAACAAAAAGACAGCAGTAACCTCTGCAGACTTAAATGACACTGTCTGACAGCTTTGAAGAGAGCAGTGGTTCTCCCAGCACGCAGCTGGAGATCTGAGAACAGGCAGACTGCCTCCTCAAGTGGGTCCCTGACCCCTGAGCAGCCTAACTGGGAGGCACACCCCAGTAGGGGCAGACTGACACCTCAAACAGCCGGGTACTCCTCTGAGACAAAACTTCCAGAGGAACAATCAGACAGCAGCATTCGCGGTTCATGAAAATCCACTGCTCTGCAGCCACTGCTGCTGATACCCAGGCAAACAGGGTCTGGAGTGGACCTCTAGCAAATTCCAACAGACCTGCAGCTGAGGGTCCTGTCTGTTAGAAGGAAAACTAACAAGCAGAAAGGACATCAACACCAAAAACCCATCTGTATATCACCATCACCAAAGACCAAAAGTAGATAAAACCACAAAGATGGGGAAAAAACAGAGCAGAACAACTGGAAACTCTAAAAAGTAGAGCACCTCTCCTCCTCCAAAAGAACGTAGTTCCTCACCAGCAATGGAACAAAGCTGGATGGAGAATGACTTTGACGAGTTGAGAGAAGAAGACTTCAGACGATCAAACTACTCCAAGCTACAGGAGGAAATTCAAACCAATGGCAAAGAAGTTAAAAACTTTGAAAAAAAATTAGATGAATGGATACCTAGAATAACCAATGGAGAGAAGTCCTTAAAGGAGCTGATGGAGCTGAAAGCCAAGGCTCGAGAACAACATGAAGAATGCAGAAGCCTCAGGAGCCGATGCGATCAACTGGAAGAAAGGGTATCAGTGATGGAAGATGAAATGAATGAAATGAAGCGAGAAGGGAAGTTTAGAGAAAAAAGAATAAAAAGAAATGAACAAAGCCTCCAAGAAATATGGGACTATGTGAAAAGACCAAATCTACATCTGATTGGTGTACCTGAAAGTGACGGGGAGAATGGAACCAAGTTGGAAAACACTCTGCAGGATATTATCCAGGAGAACTTCCCCAATCAAGCAAGGCAGGCCAACATTCAGATTCAGGAAATACAGAGAATGCCACAAAGGTACTCCTCGAGAAGAGCAACTCCAAGACACATAATTGTCAGATTCACCAAAGTTGAAATGAAGGAAAAAATGTTAAGGGCAGCCAGAGAGAAAGGTCGGGTTAACCACAAAGGGAAGCCCATCAGAATAACAGTGGATCTCTCGGCAGAAACTCTACAAGCCAGAAGAGAGTGGGGGCCAATATTCAACATTCTTAAAGAAAAGAATTGTCAACGCAGAATTTCATATCCAGCCAAACTAAGCTTCATAAGTGAAGGAGAAATAAAATACTTTACAGACAAGCAAATGCTGAGAGATTTTGTCACCACCAGGTCTGCCCTAAAAGAGCTCCTGAAGGAAGCACTAATATGGAAAGGAACAACCAGTACCAGCCACTACAAAATCATACCAAATTGTAAAGACCATCAAGGCTAGGAAGAAACTGCATCAACTAACGAGCAAAATAACCAGCTAACATCATAAGGACAGGACCAAATTCACACATAACAATATTAACTTTAAATGTAAATGGACTAAATGCTCCAACTAAAAGACACAGACTGGCAAATTGGATAAAGAGTCAAGACACATCAGTGTGCTGTATTCAGGAAACCCATCTCACGTGCAGAGACACACATAGGCTCAAAATAAAAGGATGAAGGAAGATCTACCAAGCAAATGGAAAACAAAAAAAGGCAGGGGTTGCAATCCTAGTCTCTGATAAAACAGACTTTAAACCAACAAAGATCAAAAGAGACAAACAAGGCCATTACATAATGGTAAAGGAATCAATTCAACAAGAAGAGCTAACTATTCTAAATATATATGCACCCAATACAGGAGCACCCAGATTCATAAAGCAAGTCCTGAGTGACCTACAAAGAGACTTAGACTCCCACACAATAATAATGGGAGACTTTAACACCCCACTGTCAACATTAGACAGATCAACAAGACAGAAAGTTAACAAGGATACCCACGAATTGAACTCAGCTCTGCACCAAGCGGACCTAATAGACATCTACAGAACTCTCCACCCCAAAACAACAGAATATACATTTTTTTCAGCACCACACCACACCTATTCCAAAATTGACCACATACTTGGAAGTAAAGCACTCCTCAGCAAATGTAAAAGAACAGAAATTATAGCAAACTGTCTCTCAGACCACAGTGCAATCAAACTAGAACTCAGGATTAAGAAACTCACTCAAAACCACTCAACTACATGGACACTGAACAACCTGCTCCTGAATGACTACTGGGTACATAACGAAAGGAAGGCAGAAATAAAGATGTTCTTTGAAACCAACGAGAACAAAGACACAACATACCAGAATCTCTGGGACACATTCAAAGCAGTGTGTAGAGGGAAATTTATGCCCACAAGAGAAAGCAGGAAAGATCCAAAATTGATACCCTAACAACACAATTAAAAGAACTAGAAAAGCAAGAGCAAACACATTCAAAAGCTAGCAGAAGGCAAGAAATAACTAAAATCAGAGCAGAACTGAAGGAAATAGAGACACAAAAAACCCTTCAAACAATTAATGAATCCAGGAGCTGGTTTTTTGAAAGGATCAACAAAATTGATAGACCACTAGCAAGACTAATAAAGAAAAAAAGAGAGAAGAATCAAATAGACGCAATAAAAAATGATAAAGGGGATATCACCACCGATCCCACAGAAATACAAACTACCATCAGAGAATACTACAAACACCTCTATGCAAATAAACTAGAAAATCTAGAAGAAATGGATGAATTCCTCAACACATACACTCTCCCAAGACTAAACCTGGAAGAAGTTGAATCTCTGAATAGACCAATAACAGGATCTGAAATTGTGGCAATAATCAATAGCTTACCAACCAAAAGAGTCCAGGGCCAGATGGATTCACAGCCGAATTCTACCAGAGGTACAAGGAGGAACTGGTACCATTCCTTCTGAAACTATTCCAATTAATAGAAAAAGAGGGAATCCTCCCTAACTCATTTTATGAGGCCAGCATCATCCTGATACCAAAGCCTGGCAGAGACACAACCAAAAAAGAGAATTTTAGACCAATAGCCTTGATGAACATTGATGCAAAAATCCTAAATAAAATACTGGCAAACCGAATCCAACAGCACATCAAAAAGCTTATCCACCATGATCAAGTGGGCTTCATCCCTGGGATGCAAGGCTGGTTCAATATATGCAAATCAATAAATGTAATCCAGCATATAAACAGAACCAAAGACAAAAACCACAAGATTATCTCAATAGATGCAGAAAAGGCCTTTGACAAAATTCAACAACCCTTCATGCTAAAAACTCTCAATCAATTAGGTATTGATGGGATGTATCTCAAAATAATAAGAGCTATCTATGACAAACCCACAGCCAATATCATACTGAATGGGCAAAAACTGGAAGCATTCCCTTTGAAAACCGGCACAAGACAGGAATGCCCTCTCTCACCACTCCTATTCAACATAGTGTGGGAAGTTCTGGCCAGGGCAATTAGGCAGGAGAAGGAAATAAAGGGTATTCAATTAGGAAAAGAGGAAGTCAAATTGTCCCTGTTTGCAGACGACATGATTGTATATCTAGAAAACCCCATTGTCTCAGCCCAAAATCTCCTTAAGCTGATAAGCAACTTCAGCAACGTCTCAGGATACAAAATCAATGTACAAAAATCACAAGCATTCTTATACACCAATAACAGACAGAGAGCCAAATCATGAGTGAACTCCCATTCACAATTGCTTCAAAGAGAATAAAATACTTAGGAATCCAACTTACAAGGGATGTGAAGGACCTCTTCAAGGAGAACTACAAACCACTGCTCAATGAAATAAAAGAGGATACAAACAAATGCAGGAACATTCCATGCTCATGGGTAGGAAGAATCAATATTGTGAAAATGGCCATACTGCCCAAGGTAATTTATAGATTCAATGCCATCCCCATCAAGCTACCAATGACTTTCTTCACTGAATTGGAAAAAACTACTTTAAAGTTCATATGGAACCAAAAAAGAGCCCGCATCACCAAGTCAATCCTAAGCCAAAAGAACAAAGCTGGAGGCATCAGGCTACCTGACTTCAAACTATACTACAAGGCTACAGTAACCAAAACAGCATGGTACTGGTACCAAAACAGAGATATAGATCAATGGAACAGAACAGAGCCCTCAGAAATAACGCTGCATATCTACAACTATCTGATCTTTGACAAACCTGAGAAAAACAAGAAATGGGGAAAGGATTCCCTATTTAATAATTGGTGCTGGGAAAACTGGCTAGCCATATGTAGAAAGCTGAAACTGGATCCCTTCCTTACACCTTATACAAAAATTAACTCAAGATGGATTAAAGACTTACATGTTAGACCTAAAACTATCAAAACCCTAGAAGAAAACCTAGGCATTACCATTCAGGACATAGGCATGGGCAAGGACTTCATGTCTAAAACACCAAAAGCAATGGCAACAAAAGCCAAAATTGACAAATGGGATCTAATTAAACTAAAGAGCTTCTGCACAGCAAAAGAAACTACCATCAGAGTGAACAGGCAACCTACAAAATGGGAGAAAATTTTCGCAACCTACTCATCTGACAAAGGGCTAATATCCAGAATCTACAATGAACTCAAACAAATTTACAAGAAAAAAACAAACAACCCCATCAAAAAGTGGGTGAAGGATATGAACAGACACTTCTCAAAAGAAGACATTTATGCAGCCAAAAAACACATGAAAAAATGCTCATCATCACTGGCCATCAGAGAAATGCAAATCAAAACCACAATGAGATACTATCTCACACCAGTTAGAATGGCAATCATTAAAAAGTCAGGAAACAACAGGTGCTGGAGAGGATGTGGAGGAATAGGAACATTTTTACACTGTTGATGGGACTGTAAACTAGTTCAACCATTGTGGAAGTCAGTGTGGCGATTCCTCAGGGATGTAGAACTAGAAATGCCATTTGACCCAGCCATCCCATTACTGGGTATATACCCAAAGGACTATAAATCATGCTGCTATAAAGACATATGCACACGTATGTTTATTGCAGCACTATTCACAATAGCAAAGACTTGGAACCAATCCAAATGTCCAACAATGATAGACTTGATTAAGAAAATGTGGCACATATACACCATGGAATACTATGCAGCCATAAAAAATGATGAGTTCATGTCCTTTGTAGAGACATGGATGAAGCTGGAAACCATCATTTTCAGCAAACTATCATAAGGACAAAAAACCAAACACCGCATGTTCTCACTCATAGGTGGGAATTGAACAATGAGAACACATGGACACAGGAAGGGGAATATCACACACAGGGGACTGTTGTGGGGTGGGGGGAGGGGGGAGGGATAGCATTAGGAGATATACCTAATGCTAAATGACGAGTTAATGGGTGCAGCACACCAGCATGGCACATGTATACATATGTAACTAACCTGCACACACTGTGCACATGTACCCTAAAACTTAAAGTATAATAATAATAAAATTAAAAAATAAAAATAAAAAAAGAAAACATCTATTAAAATATCATGTTACAAACCATAAGTATATAGAAGTTTGTCAATTAAAACATTTTTAAAGAGAAAAAAAGATCACTGCTTTGACATTCAAAGTAATTAGCACGGTATATAAGGCCCTTCATCATCTGGCTCCCTCCTACTTTCAGTTTCATTTTCCAATAGTCTCCAAGCACCCTGCATACTGGCATTGCCCATTTAATTATTCTAACCTCAAAGCTTTTCCTTGGCCTATCTGCTCCCCTTTATTTGGAATGCCCCCCTCCCTGCCACCTTATCCATCAGGTCCACTCTTATTCCTCAATTTCTGCAGGTAATTGTTCCCAGCCCTAACAATCCCTCCTTTTAGCAGAACACTTGGTACAGAGTAGGATTCCAGACTTGTTGATTGCATGAATTGAGGAAACATGAGTTGAGCTATCTCAGAAGAGCATCCCTAAAGATACAGTATACATTATCCCCACTCTTCATTTCTCAATTCTATTGGCACTTAGACAAAATATATATAGTGCATAGTTTTATTTTTGGCGTTCTTTTAATAGTGGATCATTTTGTGTCTCTGTGTATAATTTTGCCAAAACAAAGAGCTGTTCTGAAATTTATCAATGAAAATGAGATATTTTGCTTTTGCTGGATAAAAATTGAAAATCATTGCAAAAATTGACAAAGACAAGCATTTCTTGACTCTCGTATTTGCAAAAGCAAACTACAGCATTCAGAATTCTCCACTAACTATCCTATGCTCTCCACTCAACTTTGTCACCCACCGTTTCCTGATGCTACTCTCTTCCTCCAGGCTGGACAGTTTTCTTACTATATTTATGAACAACATGTTAGGTTTTACTTCCAATTCTTTCCTCATACTATTTCTTTTCTTAGAGCATTCTGTCATCTCCTTCTGCATTTTTTTTTAATCTCCATCCTTTCCAGCAAGAAAGATCCAGTTCACCATGTCTAAACAGTCCATTTTGTTCTCTTCTGCTCTGAACTTTATTATTAACATTTTTATTGCGTCATTTCATTTGGCAACTAATCCCACTTTGACTTGCATTATTATATGGTTCCTTATTGTTGTCTTGTCCTGAATTATCAAAGATATGGTATTGTACATTTATTCACATCATCTTCCTAAACTAGCCCATTAGTATATACATAACAGGGGCTCTACACTTATTAAAAGGTCCTACATTTCAGAACATGTCCAAGAACTAGGGAATTTTTGAGTTTTGTTTTGAGTGATTGATTCAGTGAATCAGTTCACTGAATAAATTAAAAAAAGATTTGTAATCTCTGCATGAATAAATTAGCACTGCTTTAAATAATGGGCTACAATGTAAATGAAACCAAGATTCGAATGTCAAGCATAAAAATAGAATGGTAATGGCTAAGAACTGAATGGAGGCATAGGAGCAGTCTTCATGCAAGCGTTCACTGCATTGGCAAGAACACTGGGTTGAATGTTGGGAAGTATAGGTTTCAGTCCTGGATACCTCACAGGTACCTTTGGGTAAATTGTGTGACCTCTCTTGGGTTTCAGATTATACCTATCTAAAAGAAGAGTGTTGAGCTTCATCATTTTTATGATGATTTTGTGATCCATTCCAGCCAAAAATAAAATTTATCTCATTTGCCTTTGGGCAAGTAACTAACCAACTGACTTAAAATAAGGAGACTATCAGCCTGGTGCAGTGGCTCTCGCCTGTAATCCCAGCACTTTGGGAGGCCAAGGCAGACGGATCACCTGAGGTCAGGAGTTCGAGACTAGCCTGGCCAATATAGTGAAACCCCATCTCTACTAAAAATATAAAAATTAACTGCGCATGGAGGTGCATGCCTTTAGTCCCAGCTACTCGGGAGGCTGAGGCAGGAGAATCGCTTGAACCCAGGAGGTGGAGGATGTAGTGAGCAGAGATTGCGCCACCGCACTCCAGCCTGGGCCACAGATAGAGACTCCATCTCAAAAAAAGTAAAAATTTGAAAAAGGAGATGGCATCTAGGTGGTTCAATTAAATCATAAGAGGCCTTTAAATGTAGAAGAAGGAGGCAGCAGAGATTCTGTCAGATGATGTATCGTCAACAAAACTCAACCTTCCATTGCTGGCTCTGAAGAGGGAAGGGGTCATGAACCTAGGATTGCCGTCAACCTCTAGACACTGGAAAGGGAAAGGGAACAAATGGTTTTCCAAAGCCTCCAGGAGGAACCAGACCAGGGACACCTTGATACTAGCCCAAGAACACTAATATCAATAGTCTGACTTCCAGAATACTAAGTTACATAATTTGTGTAGTTTTAAACCACCAGATGTGTGGCAATTTGTTAAAGCAGTAACAGAAAATTAATACACATCCTACCCAACAAAAAAGATTTTTAATTAGAGAAAAAAACCTATACACTTTCTAGTAAAGTAATATGTGAACAAAATAAATCAACATGGCATGTATGAACTAGCAGCAGTCACTTTAGGGACTGTCTGAAACCTTCATTTACTAAAAAGAAAGAATAATTCAGCCACTTAAATACTTTATGAAGCATTTATTTTCATCTTCCTGGTCTCAGAAGATGTATTTGCTGTATATACTATTTCTTGATTCAGTTCTTAAGTAACTACTTATGTGTAAAGCATTCTGTTAGGAATAATAATATGTATTCCCTCTTCTTACATATATTATAACTGAAGAAAGGGCTAAGCATGGGTGGTATTGGATAAGAGGAGTTCAAAACATGTCTTAAAATATTATGTCAAAAAATTTGAGCATAATAAATTACTATGGCATAGCACAACCAATTTTTCTTATTGCTTAGCAGTTTTAAAAATGATTCCTACTAATAATCCATGCTGGCTGTAGAGACAAATAACTTCAGGAACTCAGAAGATAATTAAATTAAAAGAAGCATTTATGAGCCTTTAGTCCATACCCTTCATCTTAGAGATAAGAGATTGAGCCCCAGAGGTAAAGAGACTTGTCCAAAGTTATCATTCCTAGCAGCAGAATGGGAAGTGAAATATAACTCCTGTCTGGTATTCCAGGCCAGTGTTGCTGCAGAGGTGAGAAGGGGGAAAATGCGAGGGAACAAGCACCTCTAGAAGAGAGGGGCAGCCACACACAGGAGTTTGGATTTAACCTAAGTACAACAGACAGCCAAAATCTGCTGTGTATTTTTAAATGTATACATTTTAACATAAATTTAATTTTGTATAGATGCACGGATGAAAGTAAAGAGACCAACTGCAAGGTTGTTGCAGCAGTTAGGGAGAGAAGCTATGGCAGCCTGGATGAGGGTAGTAGCCAAGGTGACTAAAAAAAAAAAAAAAAAAAAAACAGGTTCAGGATCTACCTTGGAGTAAATCAATAAAATTTGCTAATAGATGGGATGTATGGATACGAAAAACAGAGAAATCAAATATTATCCCCAGATTTTGGCTTAATGGTGCCATATACTGAAATGAGAAAACTCAAGGAGGGAAAAGGAGGACTTCTACTGTATCTTCCGAGATTTCCCCTCAGTGTTCTACTCCGTGATTCAGTCCTTAACTATTTACTTATGTGTAAAACATTCTGCCTGGAATAATAATATCCATTTCTTCTTCTTGTGGGGATCATAACTGAGGGAGGGGCTAGGCCTGGGTAGTATTGAATAAGAGGAGCTCAAAAACGACTGTGAGGGAAGACAGGCTAGGATTTGCCATGAGAGAGGTACTAATAAAGTGCTACAAGAGTAGTGAGTGAGACTGTTTCTCACTGGACTAAGTGAGAAGAAAGGCACAATGGAGGAAGCTTTTTGAAATGGGTCTTATTGGAGAGAGATGGCATTTCAGGAAGAGGGAACACTGTTATCAAAGGCAAAGTGGTGGGGAAGTTCAGAGCATGTCCAAAGACCAGGACAGAGTGCAGTGTGGTTTTCATTAGTTGATTCATCCATTCATTCATTCAGCAAATATTTATTGAAAACTTAGTATATGCCAGGTCATGTGTTACCTGATGAAGATTCAAAGATGTCTGAGACACAGTCCTGTCCCTCAGGAACTTTACTGCCCTAGAGTGGTGTTGAATGAATTCAATGAATATATGGGAGAGAGATAAGAAAATGAATAGCTTACTCATACATTTTTAAAATTCATTCAAAAAATTGTTGGACGCATTATTGTGCACCCACTAGATGTATTGCTCTAGAACTTACACATTGTTCAAAGAAGACTTTTACAGTAATACGAATGGATGTGCTTATAGAAGTATTAGGAAAGGACTAACAAAGTTCACCTGGTTTCCACTAGGGATGTGATTGTGATAAGGCTTTACAAATAGCTCAACTTTTATGCTAGAGTAGATGGAGTTAAGACCAAAACATCAGGCAAGAGCCATACCATGGAGGGCCCCTAATGCCCATCCAGGAGTCTGGCTTAATTCAATTGGCACTGGGAAGTCATTGAGAATTTTTTACCACTTGAGTGACAGAATCAGAGCTTTAATTTGGCTCTTATTAATTTGATAAAGGCAGAGCTAAAATAAGGAGAAACGGGAGGCAAGAGGAGTTTTGCACACCTCTCAGTCTCCCAGAGGAAAAGTAATGAAGCTATGGTGTAAGGCAGTACCAATGCTCATGGAAAGCAGGAGGCAGATTCAGGAGACATTGCAGAGATTGAATAAGTGAGATGAGGCAGCTAACTCGTTACCCCTTCTTTGTTTCTACATCTAAGCATGACTATGGCTTCAAAAGTGAGTGGCCTTATTGGTAAAGATGTATAGAAACTGAAACCCTCCTATACCGCCGATGAGAATGTAAAATGGTACAGCCACTGTGGAAAGCTGCTTGGCAGTTCGTCAAAAAGTCAGACATAGAGCTAGTGTAAGACCCAGCAATTCCACTCTCAGGGATATACAAGAGAATGGGAAACATGCGTCCACACAAAAACCTGCATGGGAATATTTACAGCAGCATCATTCCTGACAGCCCTAAGTGGCAGCAACTCAAATATCCATCAACTGATGAGTAGGTAAAGAAAATGTGGTATATCCACAGAATGGAATATTAATCAGCTTTAAAAAGGAATAAAGTCCTAATTCCTGCTACAACATGGACAAACCTTGAAAACATTGTGCTAAGTGAAAGAAGCCTGACACAAAAAGCTACAGATTCTTTGATTCTATTTACATGAAGTGTCTGTCATAGGCCAATCCATAGAGAGAGAAAGTAGATTAGTGGCTCCCAAGTACTAGGGGGAGAGAGGGGTGAGAAATGACTGCTAATGGATTTGAGGTTCCTTTGTGAGATGATGATAACGTTCTAAAATTAGACATTAGTAATGATTGCACGATTCTTTGAATCCACCAAAACCCACTGAATTGTACACTTTGAAGGGTTTTTGTATTCATGTAAATATAAATGTAACATATTTCATGGTATGTGAATTGAATCTCAATGCAGATGCTATTTTAAAAAGGGAGTGACTTTAAGACTGCTGATAGCATTACCACGATACAGTGAGAACAAGGAGGAGCAGATTTAGGAAAAAGGTGATTTTGAGACATATTAAATATTAAGTTAAGGCATTTATAAGACTTTTAGATAGAAATATTCATACTGAAGATGTTTATCTGCAGCTTTAAAAGAGGTAGCTCTTCAAATGCAGGTGGTTCTAAATGGGAAAAAATATAAAAATTAAAAAGAGGTAGATACGTGTATTGTCCGCACAGAAATGATTATTGGAACCACAGAAGTTGATAAAACTAAACCTCTGAGTGAGAAAGTGCAGAGAGAAGAGACTAAGCCAAGATAAAATCTCGAAAATTGCTATAGGAAGGCAACAAGGGAGAAAACGAAATTCCAGGAAGAAGAACTATTTGAAAAAGGTCTCTGGAAAGAAGGAGCCTAGAACACATGGAGACCTAAAATATAAGGCCAATGTGGTAGAGCCCAGAGGCACGTCAGGGGACAAGGTGAGACATGATGAGTCCTCAGAGGTGAGTTCCTACAACCTTTGTAGGCAAGGCTAAGGTTAAGGCAGGGTTCACCTAAGAACAATATGAAGCTATTCAGCAAGGAGCATCGTAGTTAGATTTGAATTTCCAACAATCACTCTGGCCATGGTGTGGAGAACAATTTGGAGAGGGTTCAATCAAAATAATCCTGGTGGGAGACACTATTAATAAGTTGGACAAGGTTGGTGGTAGAGTAGTTCTGAGCTGAATAATTTAGGGGTCATCATCATCTGGATGGTCAGTGAAGCCTCGGAGTGAATGAGATTGATTAGGGAGAGAGAATACAGCAAGAAGCAAAGAAGACCAGTTTAGGACGATAAGACTGAGGGCCACAGTGAACTTATAGAACATCTGTACTTAATGGCCATATTGAGGAGAATGAGCCACTAAATGAGAGAGAGAAGTGTTTGTCATAGAAGTAGAAGAACGTCAGCATAATGCAGTGTCATGGAAACCAAGGCAAGAGGGTGTTTCAAAGAGAAAGGAACAACCAGCAAGGAAGAGTGGTTTGGGTGCTGCTGAGAACTCAGTAAGGATAAAGACTGAAAAATGTTCGTTGTGAAAATTTCATATCATTCCATGGCAAAAGTGTTTCATAAAGAGATTAAATTACAAACCTCAGAACCAGACACAACCTTTTAATGAGGAGGCGTGACCAGTGTTGAACGCTGTTAAACACTGTTCATGAATGTTAAAAGAAGTGTCTGATGCTGATTAGGGAACCTGAGACTTGGTGGCCTTCCAAGTAGCTTTAGTAATAAGCCATGACTCACCCACCTGAAGGGTGTTCTAGAGATGAAGTTTCCAAACCCATAGTACCCTGGCTCCTAGAACTTCCACCCAAAGAAGTCCAGGAATGCGGACATGAGCTGGGAATGCCCATTATCCTGCTAATCTCTAAAAACAGAGAGGGTAAACACACACATTTGACTCGTCAAATCTTTTGGTAGTGCAAAACCATGTTGGTTTTTTTTTTTTTTCTTTTTTCTTTGAGTCGGAGTCTTACTCTGTCGCCCAGGCTGGAGTGCAGTGACGCGAACTTGGCTCACTGCAACCTCCGCCTCCCAGGTTCAAGCAATTCTCCTGAGGCTGAGCAATACTCAGCCTCCCGAGTAGCTGGGATTATAGGTGCACACCACCATGCATGGCTAATTTTGTATTTTAGTAGAGATGGGGTTTCACCATGTTGGCCAGGCTGATCTCAAACTCCTGACCCCTGGTGGTCCATCCGCCTCGGCCTCCCAAAGTGCTGGGATTATAGGCATGCCGGCTAACCATGTATATTTCTTAATTAATAAGTTCATCTTACCCTCTTTCACATATCCCACTTCTACTTCCAACACCTAAAAGTTCATGCTCTCATTTATTTTTGCTGAAGGTATAATTGGTCAGTTTTGGAGGATTTAACCAATTAGAAGTGTAACAATACTAGCAATGTAAATTATAGCATCATCAACCATTTTTGTAAAATTGTCATAATCCAGTAATGACTTCAGTGTTGACTGTTATCAGTGAGGTAGGATGGTGATTTTCTGTTATTTAAGGTAATTCAATCCAAGCAGAACATACACATTATGAAAATTTATACTTTCAGCTAGATCTATTTTACATGCATTTGAAAGCTAGCTGTATTTAATCACTTTTTATTACATAAACTAATGATGTGGGTAATGTTGTTGATTTTTTATTCATCTCTTAATGGGTAGTTTCAGAGCAAAGGCACATAAGTATCCTGCTACAGCGCTGCTAACTGATATGATCAAAGTCATATAGGAAGATGCCAAATCATTCATCAAGAACCACAACCCCAAGTTACAGGGAAGATAAAATGAAACTGAAAGGTATTTATAGGATGTCTTGCAATTGCTCAAGAAATATTAAAGTATCTTTCAATTTGATTGCAGGTAACTTAAAAGTATACTGTGGGTAAAAGCTTGGCTACCTTACCAAACTTCTCTTTCCAAATGTAATTAATAAAGTTTGGCTTACAGAATGTGTGCATACTTTCAAATTAATGTGCAGTGAGCCCTTACTTTTTCAGAGGCCATAGCTTGGTAACAATGTTTTGGGATTGTATAGAGCCTCCACTTCCCTTCCTCTTTTTCTCCTCTTTGTTTTTTCTGCTGCCTACTTTCCAGATAGGTCATCCCTTGTTAGTGCTTCCACTTGGCAAAGGAGCAGAGAAAGGAGCTGAAACTTAACTCCATTCATTTTACCCTTGCTAGCAGCAATGGTAGAAGATTTATTACAGGAAGATGTTGAAAGTATTGGCTGAAATGAAGTACAGGGAATATAGTATATTTCAATTACTTGAGCTCTCACTCTGTTCTTTAGCCAAATAATCCAGTCCCAGGCATGCAGTCAGCTGTTCAAGTTTAATTATCTCAAGTGTGGTGTGTCCACATACACTGCTTCCCCCATCTTCCCCCACTCTATCTACCCAACTTCTTCAGCAGTCCTGTGCTTTAAATACAGCCTAAACAAAGACAGCACAGTGAAGTCTAGCTTCCCAATGGGTTCACAGCATTCTAGAAAAAGCAAGAAATTATAGCATTAAGGACACAGTCCTTAGAGGTGGCTCTGAATCAACTGGGGATCTTGTTAAAATGCAAATTCTAACTCAGTGAGTCTGGAGTGGGGCCTATGATTTTGCATTTCTTTTTTTTTTTTTTTTTTTTTTTTTTTTGAGACAGAGTCTCGCTCTGTCGCCCAGGCTGGAGTGCAGTGGCGTGATCTCGGCTCACTGCAAGCTCCGCCTCCCGGGTTCACGCAATTCTCCTGCCTCAGCCTCCCAAGTAGCTGGGACTACAGGCACCCGCCACCACACCTGGCTAATTTTTTGTATTTTTAGTAGAGACGGGGTTTCGCCGTGTTAGCCAGGATGGTCTCCATCTCCTGACATCGTGTTCCGCCCACCTCGGCCTCCCAAAGTGCTGGGATTACAGGCGTAACCCACTGCGCCCGGCCCGATTTTGCATTTCTAACAAGTTCTCACATGATGCTATCATCTTTGGTCTATGGATCCAAACATTTTGAGTAGAAAAGGCTTAGGCAAATTGTGGTATTCCTTGATAAGCAATAGATAAGAGCTCATTCTACTTTTACATAAGGTTCAGAATATAGGTAATCAAATAAAGATCCTCCCTGGTACATTTTTATTCAAATACAGAGCGATATATATTTTGCTATACATCAGCGGGTTTCAGGCATGTTTTATTAAGAGCAGCAGAATTCCTTTCTCAAAATAAATATTTTATAAAACTGTAAAGAAAAAACAGGCAAAAGTGGCGACATAGAAGGAGGAGCCCTTAAACTCTGCCTATTTGGCCTCCTTCTCAGTGTCCTGCAGCCAGAAGTATCTCAGCAGAACTCTGTTTTCCAAAGGATATAGATAAAATCCCATTGCTTTAGGCCACAGTTTATATATCTTGGCCAGTGTCATAAGGTAGCATACATTCATTCAGCACATATTTATTGAGCACCTACTATGTGCCAAGCACATAGAAGAGTTTACATTCTAGTGGGAAAGAGAACCAGTAAACAATAAACAGGATGAATAAGTAAATCATGTAATACATTAAGGAGATAAGAGCTAGAGAGGAAAATGGAGGACAGAGCCAGAGGAGTCAGGAGTGCTGGTGTGGGGTGGGGCAGGTGCAACTGTAAATGGGTGCTCACGGGAGGCCTCACTGAGACAGTGATACAAGCAAAGACTTGAAGGTGAGCCAATGCTACAATAATGGTGGATGGACTCACTGTAAAAGGTTGCTGCTGAGTCCCACCCTATGTGAGGTTGGCCTGGAGGCCATCTAAAGACAATCCATGATGGTAATTGCTCTTGCAGACCACTTGGCCTGATTCATATTTCTTGGATCTCAAGAGAACATGAAGCCACACACTAGTTTTTGCGCCCTGCCATCTTGCAGAAATCAATCAAGATCTTGGAGTTGGTATCAATTATCCATTTGTGCATTTGTCAATCATGTATTAATTGTCCATCATGCTGGGAGCCTTGTGCTAGCAGAGTTCAATCAGCTGAGGTCCTACCTGTTCCTCAAGAAGCTTGCAACCTAGCCACAGGTGCAGGTGCATGAAATGGCAATCCCAAAACAATGCATTAGATGCAAATTAAAGTTATACGCGTGGGTAATGAGAGGTCAGCGGGCATCAACCCAGACGTGGGGTGGGGGGGCGTCTCATAAGATCACGTGACATGAAGGATGAGTAGGCTTCGGTGCTGGCAGCCTGCCTTCCACCTTAACAAACTCACTGGCTAAATAATTGCCCTGCACAAGTCTGAAACCCTTTATAAATATCAGGTTCTGACTTAGGGCTGTTGTTTTTTTTCCAAATAGTTGTTCATTGAAGTAAATTGTTACCTTCAGATATTTCTGCACTATGCATTGGTGAAATGTTTTTCTTCGTTTATAGGGTAATTTATTTTGCTATATGTTCATTGTGCGTGACACTTCATCATGCTGTAACGCATTTTCTTGATTGTCTGTGGAGTTACTCAGGGATAATAAATGTGTTGCTACATTTTTTAGAATGAAAAATGTCTTGGGTGGGAGAGCAATAGAGAGAGGGAGGGCAGGGGAGAAGGAGGGAGAAAGAGACAGGTGTATAGAGAGAAAGGCAGAGAGCAAACAACAATGAGCCCAGAGCAGGGAGAGGAAAAGTACATTTTGTCCTTATGACATAGCATCCAAGCCATGCTTATACCCAAGTGATACAGCATCACTCATGCCAGGAAGCCCCAGAAGTCATCGTGCTGGCAGTCATCTCTGGCACTTTTGTCCTGAAACAAGTTGCCTGGAAGAGGAACTGGATAGATGGTATGATAACCCAGCTCAAGGGATTTGTGTTTCCCTCAGACCAGACTTTTCAATGAAGAGATCAAAGAGGAAATCTCAGAACAGAAACCAGGTTTCAAAGGATGTCACCAGAGCTGTGCACATGGGCCTGGGTGATTCCTTTGTCCTACAGTCCCATCCTGGCCTTTCCAGGATGCCACCCAGACTTCCTCTGGCTGTGGTCCTCTGACATAAGGGCATGTGCACTCCTATAGATGTACATGCTTTTTTCTGCTTGTAGGAAATGACAACACTTTTCCCTGAGAAGCTAGCTGTCTGGTACAAAAGCTCTGTGTTCTGGGAGTGGCTCCAGGTGCTCTTTGTTGCTCTTTTCTGTCTACCTCCTGCTTCCTTGTTCATTCAGCCTCTACTCTAGAAGACATAGCAGCCAAAAATAGCTAGCACACTTTCCACTTTTTTGAACATTAATTAATTGTTACTCTCTTTCAGGCTGCAGAAACTCCATCACTATGATTCCTTGGACTGTGTCTTGTGACACAAATGGGCACAGAACCCTTTCCTGAGTGGCCACTCCTTTCTCGTGTCATGGATGTCTTTTTAGATAATGGCTGTCAGTCACAGAGCACTCCTCAGCATCTCCAAGCTGGCAGGCTCCATCTGAAAATCCTGTGGACAGAAGCAAATGCCTGGGTGGTGGTGGTTGTTGCTGTTGTTGTTGTTGTTGTTGTCCTGGCTTTACTTTAAAAGCTTGTTTTTATAAAAGAAGAACCATACTGGACACAGAGACTGCTCATCCCACTATCCTCTTTCTGAGAGTGACATCCAGGGATGATTTATAGAGAAGCATTGTTTGGAGAACTTCCCCCAAGTTACCCTATAGTTTAGCAACAATCTCAAAAGATAACCCTCAAACATCCCTTGCTTCCCTTAGTAACCCATTAATGATATATTGTTCATGAATTTATTTTTCCACTCTCAGTCCTACAAATTTTTTCACGTTCTGCCTCTTAAGAAAACATGTTCCTTAGGTTTACTGTTCTTGTGCAAAGTGATTCTTTCTTTTTATGAGTGTGCTAGACTCATCTTCTTAATCCTCACTTCCAGCATTTGGTGAATATGTCTACGTTCTATACCCTATAAGACTTGATTAATTTATGTATTTATTTAACAAAGATTTAAAGAGCATTTACTTTATACAAAAGTCCTTTTTATATTGTAGTTTACCTTCACAGAGCTAGATATTACTCTCCTTGCTTAGCTACTTGTCCTTACCTGTGATATTTCAGGTAGATTTCTGTCTTACTTAATAATTCACAGCTAGCACTTCCCGCAGAACCCAGCATTTCTGAAACAAAGATAGGAAAACATTCTGTTTGGTTCCCAGTATTCCTTCTAATCATGGCTTACATTTTGTTTGTCTTTTTGTTGTAAAATATACCTATTTAGTACACATTGTCAGTAGTAATTATTAGAATTGTTCCGTGAGTAATGCTTGAGTGTTTAGGGCTATGTCATCCTTTGGAGTACAGTCATGTGCCCCATGACAGCGTTGGACCATGTTGTCAATATTCATCAACGTTGGACCACATATAGGATGGTGGTCCCATAAGATTATAATTCTATGTTTTTACTCTACATTTTCTATGTTTAGATACAGAAATACTTACCACTGTGTTATAACTGCTTATAGTAGTCAATATAGTAACATGCTATCTGGCTTGTAGCCTAGGAGCCATACGCTGTACCATACAGCCTAAGTGTGTAGCAAGCCATACAATCTAGGTTTGTGTAAATACATGCTATAATGTTTCCACAATGATGAATTCACCAAATGATGCATTTCTCAGAACATGTCTTTGTCATTAGGCGTTACATAACTGTATTTTCCCCAGCGCCATCACTTTCCCCCTTGGTCATACTGAATTGCATTTGACATTAAAAAAAAAAAATTTGCAAAGCCTAGAAAAATCTCACTGATTAGTTTCTTACTGTCTGAAAGATTCCAGCCTATCCTGCCTTCTAAGTTCAGGTCAACTCAAAAGCAGCTACACCTAGTAGTTATTGATTTGCCTATTATGTATTATGTCAAATACAAATTTAATTATATTAATAATTTTGACCCCTATCAATTACCTAAGATCAGAGTGGTGTCATCATTAAACCTACAAGTAATTCATCAGCTTCAACTGAAACCATAATTATAAGATCTTTCACTATTGAAACTTCTGTTAATATAACAAGATAAGATTTTTTATCTTCTTTGCCATTGTTCTTTATCTTTCTATCAAAAGAGTTATGAATGGTCAAAAGCCCTGATAAAAATAGTAGCCGGGCTCTTTGGCTCATGCCTGTAATCCCAGCACTTTGGGAAGCCAAGGTGGGTGGATCACTTAAGCTCAGCAGTTCGAGACCAGCCTGGGCAATACAGACATCCTGTTTCTATGAAAAATAAAAAAATTAGCCCAGAATGGTGGCATGCATCTGTAGTCCCAGTTACTTGGGAGGCTGACGTGGGAGGATCACATCAGCCTAGGAGGTTCAGGCTTCAGTAAACTATGATTGCACCACTGCACTCCAGCCTGGGCAACAGAGTGAGACCCTGTCTCAAAACAAAACAAAACAAAACAAAACAAAGTAGATATGTGAATAGTTGCCTATGTTTAAGCCAAACCCTTGATAAGCAAAGCAGTTGAAAGTACCACTTGCTATTTTAAATGGTTTCAGAGCATAAAATCTACTGCTGGTTGTCCCCCCAATTCCATTTTCCCCATCTTCCTGGCATGCACCTGGACTTGATATTACAGCCTCTCTTCTAGTTCGGTGAGGTGATGTGACTGAATTCTAGCTAACTTCTATTGTTTGAGCCATTAAATGTTTGAGTTTATTTCTTATCTCAGTTTGGTCTAACTTGTCTAATACAAAGAATTCTCTCTCTTAGAATCAGGTCTTTCTCAGTCAAGAAAATAAGCAGTTGTGCAGGCTGCCAAGGTGAGAGGTAGGATTCCGAGAGAGAAAAGGACACTGTTACCTATGTTACCAGCCATAGAGTTTGTGATTTCAAGAGATGGGAAAGAGTTTTATGTGGATGCTCGTGGCTAAGTCTCCTGGTGGATATTTCCCTGAGTTTAATTCATTGATTTTTCTTCCTAGACTGTTTCTCTCATGGTTTTCATAACATATATAGCTTCTGCTGAAGGAGAAACCTCCATGGAGTTAAGGCCACAGTTCTGTGAGTTTTCACAAATAAACAGTCATGTAACTACCATCACAATAAAGACATAGAACATTTCATAACTGCCAAAATTTCCCCCACACCTTTTGTAGCCAACCACTTGAAATCATTGATCTTGTTTTCTGTGGCATGGCATAGAAATGAAATCACAGTTTGTATGTATCCTTTGGGTGTGGTTTCTCCCACTAACATGGAGCATTTAAGCTCCACCTGTGTTGTTGTGTATATCAATGATCTATTTTTATTGCTGGGTTGTATTTCATTATATTGATATATTATGACGTGGTTACTCATTCCACAGTTGAGAGACATTTGGGTTCTTTTTAGTTTGGGGGTTATTATGAATAAAAACATGCTAATCATTTATGTATGGGTTTTTGTATGAATACAGGTTTTGTTCCACTTGGGTAAATAGCAAGGAATGGGATTGCAGGCTAAATGTATATGAACATTATAAGAAACTGCTGAAGTGCTTTCCAAAGTGACTGTTCCATTTTGCATTCCCACCAGAGTTCCAGATTTTTTTAATCATTTGCTCATTCTAATAAATAGTGCCCAAGATTAATTTTGCCTGTTCTAGAATGTCAAATGGAGTCATTTACATGGCTTCTTTTGCTTAGCATAATGTATATAGAGTTAGTCCATGTTATTACACATACCAGTAATTCATTTTTTTTTTTTACTGCTGAGTAGTATGCCATTGTATAAATATATATCTCTTCCTTTATGCATTCATCTCTTGATGGACATTTGGGTTGTACAGAAACAGGCAGTTACAAGCTCCTCCGTAGTTTCTTGTCTTTTTGTTGTTGTTAGCCTTGCTGAATCAACACCTTGCACAATGAATGTGCTATATTCTCTGGATCAAAAACAAGTAAAGACTGTATTAAGTTGGCGGATGGTCATTTTTCCAGCTAAAAGCAAGAAAAATCAAAATTTCTGATTAAACAGAGGAATTGCCTTAGAACCACTCTCTAAAGTGGAAAATTGATAGCCTGCAATCTCAAATAGCTAAAATTTCTGCAGTTTGGGGCCACTATGAATAAAGCTGCTGTGAGTGTTCTTGTATTAGTCTTTTTGTGGACAACTGCAAGAATTCTCTTGGGGATATAAGTCAGAGTAGAATTGCTGGGTCACAGAGTAGGTGTATGGTTAACTTTATTAGAAACTCCTACACCCAATTTTATATGCTTTTTCTTAAAGAGGACCCCTAAAAATGTGTAAGCTTAAGGTCTTGTAAAGCTGAATAGTCTCCCCACACATCATGAGGCCAAAGACACAGACAAATCCCCTTCCAGTGAGTTAATCAGAGTACACGTGGCAATGGTAAATGTCATCAGTCTTCTTTTTCTTGGAGGGCAGCATCCTGCTGGCAGTTGCAACAAGCTCTCCCACAAACACGGTAGGCCAGGGCTGGGTGTTTAGAACCTGTGCCCTGCAGTCAGCTCATCTGCACATCCTAAGAGAAGGGACAGTTGCCCAGGACCTTTACCCTGACTGGTTAACTCTCAGTTAATTGGATATTGAATTAATAGACCTTTGGGGTCTTGATATATCTGAATCATGGCATCAGTTCTCATCTTCACTTGAAAGGTGTTGACAGAGGCTCAATACGTCAGTAACATATATTTGGGACCCACGTTCTTTCAATTGCCAGGAAATCCAGTGCCCACCTGTTTGTGCATTGCAGCAGAAGACACACTGAGGTGTAGGGATATGTGGGGAAAGGTCTTTTTGTGCAGACAAGCCTGTCTCCACCACCTCTGAGTGAAGCCTGGGCAACAGACTTGCCTTAGCTAGAGGCTTCCTGCATTTGCCAGAATGCTAAATACTTCCTCATCCCTGGCCAGTCCTAACCACAGGTCAGCTTGTTTCCCAGCTTTGCTGGATCACTTTGCACGTGGTTCATTTCAGAAAACGATCCAGTGATGAAAGACATGAAGTTCTCCTATGATTATTGCTACCCCCTGTGCATAAAGAGAACGCTCACCCCACAGTGCCTTCCAAAGAACACAACTCTCATGCTTGGGAACCTGATGACAATGGTCTAATTAACCCACTAGGGGCTCAGACAGGTTTGAGTCAGTGTGAATTTACCTGGGCACTAGATTTTCAGTTAATCCTATCAAAACTTGTAGTCTGGGAGTGGGATAAAATTACAAATCCAAACATTTACACAGATGCCTTTTTTTTTTAGCCCTGCCACAAAGCCAGGATTGCATTTACATCTTGTAACAAAATCACAATTATCACAGACCAACCCTGTTAGAAATGTAAGACCAGGATATTGAGAGAGAGAAACAAAAAGGGGGAGAGAAGCAGAGAGAGAAAATGAATGAATGGAGCTTAAGTGAGGAAAGGAAAAAGCCCATGGGGAAGGGCCCAGCGGCAATCAGCAGAGAACAGCAGGCCTGTGTTCAGCCCATGTGGTTATTTTCTGATTGTGCTGGGTCGTTCTAATCAGATTTTCTGCTCTCTCGCTATCCATCTTATTAGGCTCTTTCTATATGTGCGGCTTAGTGTTTCCTAGCAGTCACAAGATGATTCAAAGCAACAACCAACAAAGCCACTTTCGTAGGACAGTATTTATAAGGTTTATTCCAAGTCAGGGCCTCTTTGATTCTGAATAAATGAAAGGATAGATTTTCTTTCTCTTGAACTTAAGTCTCAGGAGAAATCTAGTTTTCATGCAAATTTAATTATAAAAATAGTTTCTTGATTAATCAAAAAAGCTCCCCTGGGTAGACCCTGATCTAGTAACATTCCTTCAACATAAATAAATATTACTCAGACTGCTTATGTGCCAAGTGCGGGGCCAGCCAGTGGGCATAGAATAATAGATGGAATGATGGACAGAATGCATACAGGCTGCACCTATTAGCGTTTATGGTCTTGGCCACAGAGAAGAAAATGCTTTTCTCTCTTGGAAAAGTGCACAGGCAGTAGAGAGACAGGAAGTAATCTTTTGTATTGTTCTTGCTCTGCCAAAGGCAAAGTGACATTAGGAATTTTTTTTTTTCTTGACAGCCAGTGGTGGTTCCTGCTTGCCCAGTACATAGAACAGAATACTTCAGTGAAGTATTGATGTAAACTACTTTTGAAAACAAAGTAAAGTGACACAAGGTCTTCACACAGCCTTTCTGTACCTTTAAACTTGGCTATTTGGAGCCATAGGAATGATGGAACAATCTGTAAAAATAGCATTTTAAATAAAATGTATTCAAGTCTAGGACAATTGTATTACACATTGCACACAGGGCTATCTTATTTCAGATTCCATGACAAGCAAAATATGGCTATTTAGCAGAGGAGGCAAATTCTACCCTATGGCTAAGAACTGAAGTCTAAATGGAATGTGAAAAGGAAATTCAACTTCTCTTTAAATGCCATCTACAGATGGTTTCTAGCATGCCTTCAGCTATTTTACAATGTCATCCACTGAACAAGAACTTTTTGAAGACCATGTATGTAAGTATTTAGAGACACTTCTAAGAAACATATCCTTATAAATATCCTTTACTTGCTACTAAATCCAGCTATTACTAAGACAGAACTTCTCATTATTTGCAAAGAGGAAAAAATCCTGTTTACCTGTGAGTTCTTCTTTTTTCAGAACCTATGCCTCAGAAATAGGATTGCCTCATGTCTAGCACTTAAGACTGTGGAGTCCGTGCGTGTTTAAAATAGAGGGGGAAAGAGAAGGGTGAACAGGGCCAGAAGCTGACCTGCTTTGGGAGACAACCTTCCAGGAATGGCAAGTTCATGCATTGATCCAGCTCTCTGTCAACGAGATAACATATGTCAATGTCCAGTTACTATGTGACAGGGATTGGGCTAGACCCTGGAGCCACAAAAACAGAAAAACCACCCTTGAACGGTTCAAATGTTCTTTCTAGAAAAGGTTGCATGGCTCTGAGAGTCTATCCTCACATCCTCTACTCCTGTAATGAGGGCCCTTGCCAGCTCCTCCTCTTTGCTCCACAGTGTCTGGAATCTTCTTTAAGGGGTTGCCAGAAGGCCAAACACTCTCAGGATATATTCTAGATTTTGTTCCCCCAAAAAGAGATTGGCAAAGCAAATATGAACCCTGTAATGGAGGGAAGGGGAGGCCTGTGCACTCATGATCTCTTCCAGTATTTACACAGGCCAAGAGCTCAGTGCACTCTGCACGCTGGTACAGAATGATACCTCACCTCTCTGTTGCAGGGAAACTGAGGGGGGTGGGGATGGGGAACTAGTCCTAGAGGCATCTTCATTAATTAAATCCTGCCTCTTAGTCCTTGTTTTCTTACCTGCGTGAAAGTCAGATTGGCCTTCCAACTCCTCCTTTCTTAATTGTCATTATCTGTGTTTGCTGCCACAATTCCTAACACTTCTGCCACCTGCTCCAGGACTCTCAGGCTTTCCAAATCAAACCCACTCCTCTTCAGATCCCTCCACCACCCTTCTAGCTTCTTCCTGTACCTCCATTTGATTACAAACAGCCTACCTGGTTATCAGACTTTTCTTTGTGTATATCGTCCACTAACATTTGTTTTTATTTTTATCCTCCATGACAGTGCAGAATCTCTCTAGTGGTACCATTCTCTCCATTTCTCTCATCCTGTACCCCATCATCACGCCCTAGGCACAGGTCAGCAAATACCTTACAGCCACCTGCAGATCATTGTCCCATGCCCTCCCTCCACAACTGGAGGAATTTCCCTTCTTTGTTGATCCTACTATTTAACTATGGCATCCTCTCACTAGCCTCTTCTCTGAGCCCCCAGGTTTCCATTACGCTCAGTGATGTTTCTCTAGGAATTAGCAATGCCTGACTCAAGCTACTTATCAAATACTTGAACTCCTAGTTCAAGCCCCAACAGAGCAATAGAAAATTCACTACAGTGGGGCCAAAATGGCTGATTAGAAGCAGCTGGGTCTGTAGCACTCAAGGAGAGAAATGAAAGAGACAAGTGAATTCAGCACCTTCAACTGAAACATCCAGGTTCTCGCACTGAACTGACGAGGCAAACAACTCGACCCATGGAGAACAAAGAAAAGCAGGGTGGTGGGATGGCACACCTGGGAGCGCACGAAGCCAAAGGAACCTCCATCCCCAGCCAGGGGAAGTGGTGAGTGATTGTGCAACCCCTCCGGGAAACCATGCTTCTCCTACAGATCTTTGCAACCTGCAGATCAGGAGATCCCTTCGTGAGCCCACACCACCAGGGCCTTGGGTCCAATACACAGAGCTGGTGGAGTCTCAGCAGAGCTGAGACTGTTCAGGCACACCTAGAAACCAAGGAGTCTTACATACCTCAGCCCTAGGATCCCTGGCGAGGCGGCAGATCCGTCCATACATACCTCCAGGAATGGGGCTGAATACCGGGAGCCAAGCAGTGTCATTCTGTGGGCCCTAATTCCATGGCACCTCACAAGTTAAGACCCACTGGCTTGGAATTCCAGCCAGCCAACAGCAACAGGCTGGAGTCTACCTGGGAGGGGACTGAGTTCCCCCAGGGAGGGGTGGCCGCCATCTCTGGGGTTTGGTTGACTCAGCCATTCTAGCCCGCTGGCTTGGAGAATCCAAACGGTCCTGACAAGGAAGGGTCCCCACAGCACAGCACAGCACAGCTGCGTTGCCAGATTGTGGCCAGACTGCTTCTTTAAGAGGGACACCGATCCACTCTTCTTCACTGGGCAGAATCTCCCTGCAGGGGCTTCAGCCACTCCAACCAGGGTTATATGCACACAGCTCTGATCTCTCCCTGGGATGGAAGTCCCTAGGAGACGGGTGGCCACCATCTCTGTGGTTTGGTGGACTCAGCCATTCCAGCCTGCCAGCTTTGGGAGAATCTAAACAGTCCCGATGAGGAAGGGTCCCCCTCAACACAGCACACCTGCTCTACCAAAAAGCAGCCAGAATGTTTCTTTAAGAGGGGCAAACCACACAACTACATGGAAATTGAACAACCTGCTCCTGAATGACTCCTGGGTAAATAATGAAATTAAGGCAGAAATCAAGAAGTTCTTTGAAACTAATGAGAATAAAGAGACAACAAAACAGAATCTTTGGGACACGGCTAAAGCTGTGTTAAGAGGGAAATTTACAGCACTAAATGCCCATATCAAAAAGCTAGAAAGATCTCAGGTTAACAACCTAACATCACAACTAAAAGAACTAGAGAACCAAGGGGAAAAAGAAAAAAACCCAAAGCTAGCAGAAGACAAGAAATAACCAAGTTCAGAGAGGAACTGAAGGAGATAGAGACATGAAAAGCCCTTCAAAAAAAATCAACAAATCCAGGAGATGGATTTAAAAAAAATTAATAAAATAGATTGCTAGCTAGACTAATAAAGAAGAAAAGAAGAATCAAATAAATACTATTAGAAATGATAAGAGGAATATCACCACTGGCCTTACAGAAATATAAACAACCAGCCGAGAATACTATAAACACCTCAATGCACATAAACTACAAAATCTAGAAGAAATGGATAAATTCCTGGACACATACATCCTCCCAAGACTGAACCAATAAGAAATTGAATCCGAATAGACCAATAACAAGTCTGAAATTGAGGTGTAATAAACAGCCTACCAACCAAAAAAATCCCAGGACCAGATGGAGTCACAGCTGAGTTATACCAGGGGTACAAAGAAGAGCTGGTACCATTTCTACTGAAGCTATTCCAAATAATTGAAAAGGAGGGACTCCTCCCTAACTCATTCTATAAGGCCAGTATCATCCTGATACCAAAACCCGGCAGAGATACAACAAAAGAAGAAAGCTTCAGGCCAATATCCTTGATGAACATCAATGCAAAAATCCTCAATAAAATACTGGCAAACCAAATCCAGCAGCACATCAAGAAGCTTATCCACCACAATCAAGTTGGCTTCATCCCCAGGATGAAGGCTTGGTTCAACATACACAAATCAATAAAAGTAATTCATCACATAAACAGTCCTAAAGATAAAAAATACATGATTATCTCAATAGATACAGAAAAGGCTTTCGATAAAACTCAACATCCCTTCATGTTAAAAACTCTCAATCAACTAAGTGTTGAAGGAACATACCTCAAATGAATAAGAGCCATACATGACAAACTCATAGCCAATATCATACTGAATGGGCAAAAGCTGGAATCATTCCCCTTGAAAACCAGCACAAGACAAGGATGCCCTCTCTCACCATTCCCATTCAACATAGTATTGGAAGTTCTGGCCAGGACAATCAGGCAAGAGAAAGAAATAAAGTGTATCAAATAAAAAGAGAGGAAGTCAAATTATCTTTGTTTGCAGATGACATGATTCTATATCTAGAATACCCCATCACCTCAGCCCAAAATCTTCTTAAGCTGATAAGGAACTTCAGCAAAGTCTTAGGATATAAAATTGATGTGCAAAAATCACTAGCATTCCTATACACCAACAACAGTTAAGCAGAGAGCCAAACCATGAATGAAATTCCATTCACAATTGCTACAAAAAGAATAAAATACCTAGGAATACAGCTAACAAGGGAAGTGAAGGGCCTCTTCAAGGAGAGTTACAAACCACTGCTCAAAGAAATCAGGGAGGACACAAACAAATGGAAAAACATTCCATGCTCATGTATGATAAAAATCAATATCGTGAAAATGGCCATATTGCCCAAAGTAATTTATAGATTCAATGCTATTACCATTAAACTACTATCGACATTCTTCACAGAATTAGAAAAAAAACTATTTTAAAATTCATATGGAACCAAAAAAGAGTCCAAATAGCCAAGACAATCCTAAGCAAAAAGAACAAAGCTAGAGGTGTCATGCTACCTGACTTCAAACTATACTACAAGGCTACAGTAACCAAAACAGCATGGTACTACTACAAAAACAGACACATAGACCAATGAAACAGAACAGAGAACTCAGAAGTAAGACTGTACACCTACAACCATCTGATCTTCCACAAACCTGCTGAAAACAAGCAATGGGGAAATGATTCCTTATTTATTAAATGGTGCTGGGAGAACTGGCTAGCCATATGCAGAAAATTGAAACTGGACTCCTTCCTTACACTATAAACAAAAATTAACTAGGGATGAATTAAAGACTTAATTGTAAACACCAAAACTATAAAAACTCTAGAAGAAAATGTAGGCAATACCCTTCAGGACATAGGCATCATAAAGATTTCATGATGAAAATGCCAAAAGCAATTGCAACAAAAGCCAAAATTGACAAATGGGATCTAATTAAACTAAGGAGCTTCTGCACAGCAAAAGAAACTATCATCAGAGTGAACAGACAACCTACAGAACGGGAGAAAACTTTTGCAATCTATCCATCTGACAAAGGTCTAATATCCACTCTACAAGGAACTTTTAAAACAATTTTACAAGAAACAACCCCATTAAAAAGTAGGCAAAGAACATGAACAGACACTTCTCAAAAGAAGACATACATGCAGCCAACACACATGAGAAAAAGCTCAACATCACTGATCATTAAAGACATGCAAATTGAAACTACAATAAGATACCATCTCATTCAAGTCAGAATGTCTATTATTAAAAAGTCAAAAATAACAGATGCTGGTGAGGTTGCAGAGAAAAAGGAATGCTTTTACACTGTTGGGGGGAGTGTAAATTAGTTCAACCATTGTGGAAGAGAGTGTGGTGATTCCTCAAAGACCTAGAGGCATGGATACCATTTGACCCAGCAATCACATTACTAGGTATAATCTCAAAGGAATGGAAATCATCCTATTATAAAGATATTTACACGTGTATGTTCATTGCAGCACTATTCAAAATAGCAAAGACATGGAATCAATCTAAATACCCATCAGTGATAGACTGGATAAAAAAAATGTGGTACATATACACCATGGAATACTATGCAGCCATACAAAGGAACGAGATCGTGTCCTTTGCAGGGACATGGATGAAGCTGGAGGCCATTATCCTTAGCAAACTAATGCAGGAACAGAAAGCCAAATACTGCATGTTCTCACTTATAACTGGGAGCTGAATGATGAGAATACATGGACACATGGGGGGAACAATACCCACTGGAGCCTGTCTGGGGAGGAAGAGTATCAGGAAGAATAGTTCATGGATGCTGGGCTTAATACCTAGGTGATGGGATAATCTGTGCAGCAAATCACCATGGCACACATTTACCTATGTAACAAACCTACACATCCTGCACATGGACTCCTGAACTTAAAAGTTGAAGGAGAAAAGAAAGAAAAAGGAAATTCACTACAGCAGGAGCCACACCTTCCATTTGCAAACACCTCTATCAATGAGAAATGTTTTAATAAGCTGAAGCCTGTGTTCCTATCATCAGTGTTAATTGTCTAGTCCTGCTTTTTGAAGTTCTATAAAAGAAATTAAATTGCTTTTCTTGTATCACAGCCCTTGGACCATTTGGGAATTTTTATCATATTCCTGCTAAGACTTCTCTACTGCAGGCTAACCAACTCCAGGGCCTTTTAGTTTTGTGAATATAACATATTATAAGGTTTCTTCACTCATATAATTGCTCTCCCCCTGAATATTCTCCAGGCTTTGCATGTGGTAAGACTGTATATATAGTTTTCAGTGTGATGTGATCAGTGGTGCTATCCCTTCCCCTCCAGAAACAGTTTTTCCATGAACACAACCTAAGAACACATCAAGTCATTGTGGTGGTACTGATGGTGATTATGGTGGTAACAGTGGTGGTGATGATGGTTGTGGTGATGGTAGTTGTGGTGGTTGGGATGGTGAGGAGGGTGATGGTAGTGGTGGAGTTGGTGGTGTGGTGGTGGTGTTGATAGTGGTGTGGTATCTTCATCTTCGGTGATAGTCTCAGTAATCATGTAATACTCTTGACTTAGTGAAATTAAGTAAAACTAAAAGCTTGTTTTGCTGTTACTAAGTCACATCTCCATCATCTTTTTAATCTACTGTTGTCTTTTGGACCAAGATCAAGACTACTGACCGTATGTTGGTAGATTTGAGCCATCATTTCAACCTAACAAAGGTCAATGTAGATCCTGATTTTGTCACTGTTTGTTCACCATTCTTCCCAGCTTTGGTTCATCTGCAAATTAATGATCATGTCTTCTATATCTTTATCCAAGTTTCTGATTAAATGTGAATCAAGCAGTGTTAAAGTTAGAGGCCTATGAAAAGACACTAAAGAGTGTCCTTCAGGGTAACATTTATCTATTAACCAGCATCCTTTGGATAAAATTGTTCAATTCATCAATTTTAATGTACCTCATTTTTCTTCTGTTCCATTCCCAAGGCTATCATGAAATTTGGATGCTCTCTCTATATGTTGCATTTCTTCTTTGTACCAATTTAATAATCAAGGCCCCCCCTTGAAAAAAAATTAGTTTGATATGACTTTATTGTGTTGCTATAAGATAATACCACAGACTGGGTAATTTATAAAGGACAGAAGTTTAATTTCTCACATTTCTGGAGGTTAGGAAGTTCAAGATCAAGATGACAGCATCTGGTAAGTATTGCTCTCTACTTCCAACAAGGTATCTTGAATGCTGAGTCCTCTGAAGAAGAGGAACATTATGTCTTCACACGGCAGAAGGCAGAAGGGCAAAAAATGGCACACTCCCTCCATCAAGCCCTTCTACAAGGAGACTTCCTAGTCTCATTCTTGAGGGTGGAGCCCACATGACTCAATCACCTCCCAAAGCCCATATCTCCCAGTAATGTTTCATTGGGAATTATGTTTCAACATAAATTTGGAGATGACTGAAACATTCCATCTACAACAGACTTCTTTTTCTTTTTCCATAGGTTATTGGGGGCACAGGTGGTATTTGGTTACATGAGTAAGTTCTTTAGTGGTGATTTGTGAGATTTTGGTGCACTCATCACCTGAGCAGTATACACTGCACCCTATTTGTAGTCTTTTATCCCTCACTCCCCTCCCACCCTTCCCGCCAAGTTCCCAAAGTCCATTGTATCATTCTTATGCCTTTGCATCCTCATAGCTTAGCTCCCACATATCAGTGGGAACATACGATGTTTGGTTTTCTATTCCTGAGTCACTTCACTTAGAATAATAGTCTCCAATCTCATCCAGGTTGCTGCGAATGTTGTTAATTCATTCTTTTTTAAGTCTGAGTAGTATTCCATCATTATATATATATATATATATATATATATATATATATATATATATATATATGTATGTATATACATGTATGTGTACATATATATGTATGTGTATATATGTATGTATACATATATATACGAGTAAAGAAACTGATATATATGTATATATGTGTGTATATATATGTATGTGTGTGTGTGTGATATATCTCACAGTTTCTTTATCCACTCGTTGATTAATGGGCATTTGAATTGGTTCCATGATTTTGCAATTGCAAATTGTGCTGCTATAAACATATGTGTACAAGTATCTTTTTCGTGTAATGACTTCTTTTCCTCCAAGTAGATACCCAGTACTGGAATTGCTGTATCAAATGGTAGTTCTACTTTTAGTTCTTTAAGGAGTCTCCACACTACTTTCCATAGTGACTGTACTATTAACATTCCCACTAGCAGAGTAGAGTGTTCCCTGATCACCACATCCACACCAACATCTACTGTTTTTTGACTTTTTATTACGGCCATTCTTGCAGGGGTAAGGTGGTATCACATTGTGGTTTTGATTTACATTTCCCTGATCATTAGTGATGTTGAGCATTTTTTTTCCATATGTTTGTTGGCCATTTTTGTATCTTCTTTTGAGAATTGTCTATTCATGTCCTTAGCCCACTTTTTGATGGGATTATTTGTTTTGTTTTTTTTTTCTTACTGATTTGTTTGAGTTCGTTGTAGATTCTGGATATTAGTCCTTTGTCAGATGTATAGATCGTGAAGATTTTCTCCCACTCTGTGGGTTGTCTGTTTACTCTGCTGACTGTTCCTTTTGTCGTGCAAAAGCTCTTCAGTTTAATTAAGTCCCAGCTATTTATCTTTGTTTTTATTGCATTTGCTTTTGGGTTCTTGGTCATGAAATCCTTACCTAAGCCATTGTCTAGAAGGGTTTTTCCAATGTTATCTTCTAGAAATTTTATAGTTTCAGGTCTTAGATTTAAGTCCTTAATCCATCTTGAGTTGATTTTTGTATAAGGTGAGAGATGAGGATCCAGTTTCATTCTCCTACATGTGGCTAGCCGATTATCCCAGCACCATGTGTTGAATAGGGTGTCCTTTCCCCACTTTATGTTTTTGTTTGCTTTGTCAAAGATCAGTTGGCTGTAAGTATTTGGGTTTATTTCTGGGTTCTCTATGCTGTTCCATTGGTCTGTGTGCCTATTTTTATACCAGTAACATGCTGTTTTGGTGACTATGGCCTTATAGTATAGTTTGAAATCAGGTAATGTTATGCCTCCAAATTTGTTCTTTTTGCTTAGTCTTGCTTTGGCTATGGAGGCTCTTTTTAAGTTTCATATGAATTTTAGAATTGTTTTTTCTAATTCTGTGAAGAATGATGGTTGTATTTGATGGGGATTGCACTGAATTTGTAGATTGCTTTTGGCAGTATGGTCATTTTCACACTACTGATTCTACCTATCCATGAGCATGGGATGTGTTTCCATTTTTTTGTGTTGTCTACAATTTCTTTCAGCAGTGTTTTGTAGGGTTACTTGTAGAGGTCTTTCACCTCCTTGGTTAAGTATATTCCTAAGTATTTTCTTTTTCAGCTATTGTGAAAGGCTATGAGTTCTTGATTTGATTCTGCGCTTGGTCGCTGTTGGTGTATAGAAGAGCTACTGATTTGTTTACATCAGTATTGTATCTGGAAACTTTGCTGAATTCTTTTATCAGTTCTAAGAGCTTTCTGGAGGAGTCTTTAAGGTTTTTGAGTTAAACAATAATATTATCTGCAAGCAGTGACAGTTTGACTTACTTTTTACAGATTTGGATGTCCTTTATTTTTTTCTCTTGTCTGATTGCTCTGGCTAGGACTTCCAGTACTATGTTGAAGAGGAGTGGTAAGATTGGGCATCCTTGTCTTGTTCCAGTTCTCAGAGGGAATGCTTTCAACTTTTTCCCATTCAGTATTATGTTGGCTGTGGGTTTGTCATAGGTGGCTTTTATTACATTGAGGTATGTCCCTTGTATGCTGATTTTGCTTAGAGTTTTTATCATAAAGCGATGCTGGATTTTGTTGAATGCTTTTTCTGCATCTATTCAGATGATCATGTGATTTTTGTTTTTAATTATGTTTATGTGGTGTATCACATTTGTTGACTTGCATATGTTAAACCATCTCTGCAACCCTTGTATGAACCCCAGTTGATCATGGTAGATTATCTTTTTGACATATTGTTGGATTCGGTTAGTTAGTATTTTGTTAAGCATTTTAGCATCTATGTTCACCAGCAATATCTGTCTATAGTTTCCTTTTTTGGTTATGTCCTTTCCTGGTTTTGGTATTAGGGTGATAATGGCTTTATAGAATGACTTAGGGAGGGTTCCCTCTTTCTCTATCTTGTCGAATAGTGTCAATAGGATTGGTAACAATTCTTCACAGCAGACTTTTTCAATATTTGTGATCACCAGATTCCTTTCTCACCGCCATCCTGTTAATAATTAATACTAGAATCTTACTTGGAATCTATACACTTCCCAATGATCTTTAGTGAAAAAATGCTGCTTCTTCATTTTGAGAACCAGAATCACATTTGTCCATTCCACTTTTTAATACCTTTCCCCTCTACAATTCCCTCATTGGAGAAACAATTCATTCCTCCTTGGAGCCTCAGAGCTCATTGAAACCTCGTGAAACAGCTCTTGCTCTGCCTTCTATTAAGGTTGTTTATTTAGATAGACATCATATTCCTTTACCCCCACCCCCAAGATATTCACACTTGATTATACATTCCTTGGTAACAAAAGACATTGCTTTTTTTTTTTTTTTTGCAGTGCCTTACACCATATATTTTCCTGCAGTGCCTTACACCATATATTTGAAAGACTGAATTGAACTAAAGTGCACAAAGGAAGAAAATTAGTTTTATCTATGCAGTCTCAAAATTATTTTTGGTCAAATTGGATTTTTTTCATCTATCTTAATGTCTAATTTGTTCATAGTTGAATCAGTCTTGCAGTTAATCTGATGTGGCCGTTAAGACTACTGAAGACAGTAAATTCATTTTCCTCATCTGGTGATTTTTAATCATATAGTCACAACCACTCACACAGAAAAATAAAACAGCAGACTAAATAGCAAACTAATAGCAGAATGATGAATGGAATTATCCCTAGGCCCAAAGGCTATTATACATAATCTACAGTCTCTGTCTAATTCATTCATTCAGCTTTGATTCAACACCCTTTTGTTAAGTGACAATAATAGTTACCAGTTACTGAATCCTTCCTATGGGCTAAGCACTTGAATAAGACAGTAATGTGGTGGCTACCAATATCGGGCTTGCCTTGAGTCCTGGCAACACCAGTTATTATTTGTGCAACCATAAGCCAGCTACTTCATTTTAAAACAAGTTATCATAAATATTAGTTATACCACTATTGTTAAAATATATTATCTCATTGAATCCTCACAACAACCTTGTGAGCCACTTTAATTTCTTCCTACTTTAATAATTTGCAAGGTACTGGGTGCTGGATGCTGTAGGATTTATAGAAATGACCACGTCTATAAATGACCTGATCCTGCCCTCAAGGACTTTACAATGAAGTAAAAAGGACTGAATTTTACATAATTAATTATAATCAAAAGCAGAATGAAATATTTCCCATAGCAATGTGAATGCAAAATGTTGGAGAGCACAGAGGATTCAACGGATGATGGCTTTATATAAAAGGTAGAATATGAGTTGAAACTGGAGGGGTGAAAAGGATTTGCAGAGTCATAACAGGGGTAAAGGACAATCCACAAAAGTGAGGGAGCCACAAAAGCAAAGCATGGCAGCATAAAAAAGCATTAGGGGTGCAATGCTGACCAGGGAGTGTTTCTCAACCTGCCGGCTGTAAGAATTATTTTACTGTGGCCCTACCAGGATTATTTTTGTATATGGAGTATATCAGCAAGACAATTAGAGTGCATCACACATAGAAAAGTTAAGGTTGGTTTTGTGAAATTTTTTTCAATGATATGTATGAGTATTGGGTCATAATGTAAAACATACTTCTTATTGTGGGTTGTGGTCTAATAAGTGGGGAAGGCGCTCATCTAGAGAGGTTGGAACCTAAGTCATGAAGAGAGATGGATTGTGGGGATGAGGCTGGTGTCCTAGAAAAATCATGTCTAGAAAAATAACGCTGTGGGATGATGTATTTACATTTTAGATGAAGAATGGAAGAAAGGAAACAAGTTAGGGAAAGCTGCAACAGTCTGTGCCAGCACATCCCAAATTGCTGTGAATCAAGCCTGTTCTGGGAGTTATTAGTAGGCATGAGGAGGGGAAAGTCTTTGGGTGAGCAAATACAGGCATTGTAACATGTAGATACAAGTGGGTCTATGGTAAAGCTAAGGAAGCTAAATCTTCTTGTTTTCATAAGTCCCTTCCAAGGCTCTGTTCTGAATTTTGTGTTCATAATTCTGTGTTCTTTTTCTTAAAAAGGACCTTCAGATTGTATAAACTTTGATACCCATCAAACGTGAATCTTCCTCAGCTTGTATATAAATTTAAGTAGGTGGCTTTTTCACAAAATAGGGCTTCTCAGAGACTTTAAGCTACTGATGTGCAGGCCGGGAGCGGTGGCTCACGCCTGTAATCCCAGCACTTTGGGAGGCTGAGGCAGGCAGATCACAAGGTCAGGAGTTCGAGACCAGCCTGGCCAACATAGTGAAACCCTGTCACTACTAAAAATATAAACATTAACCGGGCATGTGCCTGTCGTCCCAGCTACTCAGGAGGCTGAGGCAGGAGAATCGCTCTGTTGCCCAGGAGATGGAGATTGTGGTGAGCCAAGATCATGCCAGCCTGGGCAACAGAGCGAGAGACTCAGTCTCAAAATATATATACTCGGTCTCAGTATATATATACTGATGTGCATTTTGAATACCCCTGAGATAGTAATATTATACGTTCTCCTCTTTCCTCAAACTCCCACACCTCTCCCTTAACCCTTCCTCTCAACTGTCACTCACACCTCACATTTCACGAGCAACACAGAAGCCATTCAATGCAATTTCACTCATTGTCTCACCAATAAACCTACTGTATTGCTGTCAAAATTTATATCACAGCCCATGTTTAGGGAAAGGGTGACTTTTTTTCTTTATGTCTAATTGACCCCATCTTTCTCTGAAGTTCTCATTTCCACACACACACAAAAAAATGATAACAAGTTTACTAAGAGTAACTTGGTTTCTTTCCATTTAAAAGAAGCTGTTGGTTAAATAGTCTCTGTGGAAGTAAATACTCAATTTTTCAAAGTGTTTTCCATTTCCTGTTGTCTTTCTCTTCTCCTTAGGTAGCATCTGGACATAGGGGAACCCTCTGTGAGTTCACAGCAGTGGGAGAGAGGCCTCTGGTCCACCTCCTCTCCTTTGAGCCCCCAATCCCACTAGGGGATAAGTCATTCTAGTGGGCTTCTGGCCATCCAGCAGCCTCCACAGATGATACCCTGGTCTCTCACCACATCACAGACTCCCATCTCAACCTCAGTCTTATTCTGAGCCTTGGCTCCTCTCAGCACTTCCGCCACCACTGGGGGCTGGAACCAGCTGCTTTCTCAAACCTGTGGGAGAGGCTTTGTGTTGATGGAAATGTTTGTTGAAGCATCTTTCAAGCATCTCTTTCAGCCTTGATTTCTCTCCCATTCCTTTGCCTTCTTGGAGATGATGCCTCCTCAAATGTAGGGCTCATTTGAGAGGATTTCAACCACCCCAGGCTGTGTCTCAGGAAAGTAAGTACTGGCCATATAAATTTTGTTTTCTACAAATCTATCTAGAACTTTCCAATATAACATACTCTCAAGTTAGACCTCAAGAGCATTCGTGTGGCTGCTTCTTTCTTTTATACTTCTCTCTGGCCTCTCCTCCCTTTGTCCTCCCCTTGCCTGCCTGGCAGGAAGTCCCCTCATATCGTTTTCTCCTCCTCTTCTATTATTTGTGCTTTACTCAAGACAGTACCCTCCACTTCTTCCTTGGGGCAATAATATGTGTAATTTAACCTTATAGTAGAAGGTCAGCAAGAGAGAGAAACCCAGAAAACAAAGAAAAAAAAAGTCAGGTTATGGTTTTTAGATGTCCATTCTCCTACATGACAAATGTATTTGTTAATCCATAGTGTCTTTATCTTTTTCCATCACCACGGAGACTATTCATATAAAAGGTTAATCCTCCACTTTGTCAACAACCACAAGTACCCTCCAGGATTTCCCTTTTAGGTTATCTCCTCAGTCTGCCTTATCAGTCTCCTCCTCTGAGATCATCACCCTCCACATATGAACAGATTCCAAAATCACCCATTTGACTCATTCTTGATTCTAAATGCTCCTCCAGGACAGCACCATTTCTTCTGTCATTCAGAGCAAACCTCACAAAACAGTTGTTTCATACCACATTTCCATTTTCTTGTATGTCTCTATTTAATCCACTATATTCTGATTTCTTCCTGAACCATCCCACTGAATTTAATATTGTCAAGATCACCAATGACTTTTGTATTAGTCAGCTCCAGCTACCATAACAAAATATCATAGATTGAGTCGGTTAAACAACAAAAATTTAATTTTTCACAGTTCTAGAGGCTGGAAAATCCAAGATCAAGGTGCCAGCAGGATTTGGTTTCTTGTGAGGGTGCTCCTTCCGGCTTGCAGATGGCCACCTTCACACTGTGTCTTCACATGACCTTTTCTTGGTTTATTTGTACATATGTGTGGTTGAGGGGTAGCGGGGAGAGAGACAGAGAGAGATCTTCCTCTTTTTATAAAGCCACCAATTCTATGTATTAGGATTACACCATTATGACCTCATTCAACCTTAATTAGCTTCTAAAAGCTCTGTCTCCAAATACAATCACATTGGAAGCAGGGGCTTCAATAGATGAATTTTGTAGGGTTGGGGTGGTGTGGAGGAGAACACAGTTTTGTCCATAGCAACTTGCTTATTGCTAAAGCCAATGAAGATTTGGATTCTCATGCTTGTCTTCTTAATAATATTTGAAATAAGAAATTATGACTGCCTTCTTGAAGCACGTTTCTTCGTTCTCTGTTATCACTTTTGTTTTTCTGTGCTTTTTCCTCTGCCACTAGCCTGTCCTTCTCAAGCTTGCTTGCTGGGTCTGGCATTTGATTCTGGGGGCTGCTGAGGGTCATTCCTGAATGTTCTCTCTCTCTCTGCCCTTTCTTTATGTTCATGACTCTCAAATTTATATTGCCAACCCAGACTTCTGGTTTGAGTTTGCTACCATATAGCCATGTGCCTACTTAACATCTTTTGAATGTTTCACGCATGTATCTTCAGCTTGACAGATTTGAAAAATAATTATTGATTTTTCTTAACACACTGCACCCCAACCCCAATTTCTTCCTATCTTATTAAATAGCATCATTTTCTTTTTCTTTTTTTTTTTGGCGGGGTGCGGTGGGGGGAGCGGGTGCAGGGAGGTAGGGGAGGGGATAGAGTTTTGCTCTTGTTGCCCAGGGTGGAGTGCAATGGCGCGATCTTGGCTCACTGCAACCTCTGCCTCCCCGGTTCAAGCAGTTCTCCTGCCTCAGCCCACCAAGTAGCTGGGATTACAGGTGCCCGCCACCACACCTGGCTATTTTTTTTGTATTTTTAGTACAGATGAGGTTTCACCGTGTTGGCCAGGCTGGTCTCGAACTCCTGATCTCAGGTGATTCACCCACCTTGGCCTCCCAAAATGCTGGGATTGCAGGCATGAGCTACTGTGCCTGGCCCAAGAGCATCATTTTCTAACAGTTGTTCAAGCTATAAATCTAGGAATTTTCCTTAATTTCTACCTTTCCCTTACCTTCTGCATGTAATCCAAGAAAAAGTGCTTTCAACTCTCCAAATATGTATTTTTCTCTCCTCTGCCTGCCCCTTACATCATACCACAATTATGCCACAATCACCTCTCACCAGACCTTGCACATTAGCCCCTTAACTAGTTTCCCTGCTTCAGTTCCTGTCTTCTCCAATTCACGCTCCATATAAATGTAAGGGATGTTGGTTTAAAATATACCATAGCTCTTCTTCCTTCTCCTCCTTTTTCTTTTTCCTGTGTTTCTTTACCCTTCCTCAACAATTCAGCCCCTAAGCCATTCATTGGTGTTACACAACATAGGCATTCATATTGTGGGGGATTGGCCACAATGACCAGAAACGGGGGTCAGAACCCAGGGAAAGCTCAGGAGGGCATCCATGTGGGGAGAGAGCTTGATGGGTATTGCCTAAGCCTGGATGAGTGAGAAGGATATCCACATAGGAGGGCAAGGAGATGGCAATAGCCTGGCATGGCTGTTAGAGCCTGAGTGGGTGAGATTGTCAACGCGGGGAGGCGCAGAGGGTTGGCGGCAGAAATGGGAGATTGATTATATGCAGGGATGCTGATCAAATAAGTTAAATAGATTAAGGGTAATGAAAGCCATATTTCTCACTGTGGGAGAAAAGGGCTACAAATATGGAAAGGTATAAAAATAGGATTTACCCTGTGGTGTTGCACTGGAATTGGAGGCAGCAGTATGAATTCATGATCTCCAATATACACCAATGGACATAAAAATCAACAGAGGTAAATATGTGTAAACATACACACATACATACACATATAGCTCCCTAACTCTGTCCACTGAGAAAGCCTGGGAGCAGTGAAGCCCAAGTAACAATAAGCACAAATCTTAGTGTCTAAATACCATTTTCTACTAAAAAGAACCAGGGCTCCTAATTGAAATGGATCATCCCAAGCCTGGGGCAAGGGAAGTACTAGATGACTGTGGAAAATGTTTTGTGTGAGAAATCGAGAAAGTGTTCATAAAATGATGGAAACATATCAAAAGAACACAGAAGCCACCTTGAAAGGGTTGCCACTGGTCACATCTGGAACTATTTTAGCACCAAAAAAATAGTGATCATACTAAATAATTATTCATTAAATAAAATAACAAATTTTAAAGGTAACTTTTCAGTGGAGAGGCCTGGCTCTTACCTGACCATAATCAGGTGATCAAAGTTAAAACCACTGGCTTAAATAGGTTGCTCAAAACCATGCACCACTTTATAGGATGTAATGCATCATTCTGATGATATTCCTGCCAATTATACATAACCTGAATTTAATCATAAAGTGACATCAGAAACACCACAATTGAGAGATGTCTACAAAGTAGCCTCCAATCTTGCAAAGTGTCAAGATCATGGCCATCGAAGAAAGGTAGGGCACTATAGCAGATTGAGGAAAACTAGAGATATGCTACCTAAAAGCAAAGCATGATTTTGAATGGAATCCTTTTGCTATAAAGGACATTATTGTGACATTGGCAAAACTTGAATAGGGTCCAAGGATTAGTTAATAGTAATGTATTGACTGTAATCTCAGCACTTTGGGAGACCCAGGTGGGTGGACCATTTGAGGTCAGGAGTTCAAGCCCAGCCTGGCCAACATGGTGAAACCCCATCTTTACTAAAAATACAAAAAGTAACTGGGTGTGTTGGTGTGCACCTGTAATCTCAGCTACTCAGGAGGCAGGAGGATGGCTTGAAGCCAGGAGGCGGAGGTTTTAGTGAGCCGAGAGCCTAGGTGACAGAGCAAGACTATCTTAAAAAAAAAAAAAAGTAATGTATTGATTTAATTTCCTGATTTGTGGGATCGTATTTTGAGTAGTAGGAGAATATCCTTGTTATAAAGTGGTTGGGTTGATGGGTCACATGGTAGGCAGCCTTTAAAATGTCTCCATGATCCTTTCCTCTTGATATTCACGCACTCATATAATCCCCACCCACTGAGTTACATCTATGCCCAGTGACTCACTTCCAAATAATAGAACACAGCAAAAATGATGGCATATCACTTATGAGATTAGCCTTTTTGGTTACAAAAAGATTGTGGCTGCCATCTTGGATACTCTTTCTCCTTTTCTTGCTCACTCACACTGAGAAGTCAGCTTCCATGCTGTGAGCTTCCCCATAATGGGAAGTACATGGCAAGGAACTGAGGGAGGCCTCCAGCCACATGCCAGTGAGGAACTGAATCCTCAGAAAGCAACTGAAGGCCTTAGTTCAGAAGCCTAAAAGGGGCTAAATCCTGCCAATGACCACTTGAAAGAGCTTGGAAGTGAATCTTCCTACAGTTGAGTGTTTGAGTGAGATTGCAGCCCTAGCCAACACCTTGTTCAAAGACTTCTGAGAGTCTCTGAGGCAGATGACCCAGCCAAACCACACCTGGATTTTGACCCACAGAAACTCTGAGATAATAAATGTTGTTTAGTATTTACATTTCTTTCTGGATTTTCTTGGATTTTAATGAAAAGTTGGGACACAAGGCATCAGTCTTCAAACTACATTCTGCTGTCTGCGGGCAAACAGAACTTCCTTTCTCCCTTTATTTTAGAATTAAATACATTCTAAATACATAATCTCATTCCTAAAGCTGCTAAGCTTTAGGGTAATTTGTTAGACAACAATAGATAACTAATATAGGGCATCATATTGCAACTTACTCTCAAATGGTTCTGAGGAAAAGGCTGTACTTGAAGTCTGATATTGTTTTTTGTTTTATAAAGTGTGTGCCTGTGTGTGCATAATGGATTATGTCACTTTCCAACTTAAATGTCTTTACTGGCTTCCCATCACATGTAGAACAAAATCCAAACTCCTTGCCATGTCCTCCATATTGCCCTTGCCCATTTCTTCAGCTCCTTTTCCCCCTTACCCCTCCTAACTTCTGCCACACTGGTTTTCTGTCAGTTCCTTGGACAGATCCTGCCCTCTCCTATCATAGGGCCATTGAATCCACTGCTACCCCTTCCTGGGATGCTCTTTCCCAATTCCTCATGTGAATATTCTAATCTTATCTTTGGAATCTCACTATAAATATTAGCTTAAGTCCCTTACTCCTCCTTCATATTCTCTTGTTTAGCCCCTCATTCATTTCTTTCATATACTTTATCAGATGTTGTAATTCTCCTATTTGTGTACTTGTTTTGATCAGTCTCAGCCTTTGATAAAGACAAACCCCATGGGAGACATCCTCCTCTTCTACACCATTATATTCCCAGTACCTAACAAATAGTAAATACTCTTTAAATACTTGTTGAATGAATTGATTAATATAATGTTGATCATCTGCGTAGAATTTTTCAAAGTAAAATTTGATTAATACTCACTCCCGAAAAGAAATTTTAAGGCTATATAGAGAGTTCAATTGTACCAATATAGGCTGATCATACCGAACAAGACTCATCATAATAGATTATTTATCTTTCAACATCAAAATTAAAAGTGTCCTTTTTCTATATTACATTCTGGTTATCTTGGTTACCACACTTACCTGTCTCTACAAGTGGGTTTCTTTTTCTTTTTTTTTTTTTTCATTCTTTCAATCCCTGTTTTGCAGATATCACAACAGAGTTGTATTCTATGTACAGTAAAATCCCACATTCAGATAACAGCACATTCTTCCAAGAGTTCCAGGAACAGCCTCCGTGTGGATTTAATAGGCCAAGAAGCATGGCTTTCAAGAAGGCAATGACGGTGGGACTGGGGACCCTCTTCTGACAGCTACATGACCCCATTCCTCTTCAACAGTTCAGCACCATCAGTGAGGAGAGAAAAAGGCAGAGAGAGAGACAGAAAGACAGACAGAGCATGCCCAAAATCCCCCAGCTTGTTTCTGTCAGAACACATCAGTTCCAGGTCATGTTTCTGCAGCAAGCATGTCATGGAGCAAGCATGAGCTGTCAATATGGAGAACAGAGAAGCTCCTTTGACAGATCCCACATCTACATTCCAGGCCCATTATGTCAAGATAACTTGTTGTTCCCCTTGAATGAGCTGCCTCTCCCTCTGCTGGGTCCCCAGCTGTGGAAATCCTCACTGTAGAGCCCTGAAAGATGCTACGTCTCTGCTTGTCATACATATTTACAGGCCAGAACTGCTATAGTCATAGTTGGGAACAGGGGTGAGGAGGGACAAACAGGCAGGAACATGGCCCATCTTCCAGAAGTGCCACCTGCCACTCCACATTCTCACCATGGGAGGTGTGTTCAGTTCAAACCTAGAATCATTAAAGTCAGCATCAGAGTTCACTTCTTTTAGTGGGAACCTCACACTTCTGAAAGTAGCTTTCAAGAAATGGGTAAACAAATCTTTTAATGAAAATTATACACTCTGCCTAATTCCTCATTACCTTTGGCTTCCAGTTTCTGGGTATGAGGGGGTTGGGGAAGAAGACAAATGTGTTTATTTGTTGACTGGGGCTGTATATTGTAAAATAAAGGGAGAAAGGTAGTTCTATTTGATAGGAGACTGTAGTGGGAAGACTGATGCCTAGTGTCCCAATTTTTTATTAACATCCAAGAAAATCCAGAATGAAATTAAGTATTTACACCGGCCAGAGCTAGTACTGACAGTCAAGCTATTGCCCAATTCTAGGAGGAATTTTTATAAACTACAAGACTGGGTAGATTGAAAAACACATTTGTGGGGGGTAGAGCCAAGATGGCCGAATAGGAACAGCTGCCGTCTACAGCTCCCAGCGTGAGCGACGCAGAAGACGGGTGATTTCTGCATTTCCATCTGAGGTACTGGGTTCATCTCACTAGGGAGTGCCAGACAGTGGGAGCAGGACACTGGGTGCAGCGCACTGTGTGCGAGCGGAAGCAGGGCGAGGCATTGCCTCACTCGGGAAGTGCAAGGGGTCAGGGAGTTCCCTTTCCTAGACAAAGAAAGGGGTGACAGACGGCACCTGGAAAATCGGGTCACTCCCACCCAAATACTGCACTTTTCCAATGGGCTTAAAAAACGGCACACCAAGAGGTTATATCCTGCACCTGGCTCAGAGGGTCCTACGCCCACGGAGTCTCGCTGATTGCTAGCATGCAGTCTGAGATCAAACTGCAAGGTGGCAGCCAGGCTGGGGGAGGGGCGCCTGCCATTGCCCAGGCTTGATTAGGTAAACAAAGCAGCCAGGAAGCTTGAACTGGGTGGAGCCCACCACAGCTCAAGGAGGCCTGCCTGCCTCTGTAGGCTCCACCTCTGGGGGCAGGGCACAGACAAACAAAAAGACAGCAGTAACCTCTGCAGACTTAAATGTCCCTGTCTGACAGCTTTGAAGAGAGTAGTGGTTCTACCAGCACACAGCTGGAGATCTGAGAACGGACAGACTGCCTCCTCAAGTGGGTCCCTGACCCCCAAGCAGCCTAACTGGGAGGCACCCCCCAGTAGGGGCAGACTGACACTGCACATGGCCGGGTACTCCTCTGAGACAAAACTTCCAGAGGAACGATCAGGCAGCAGCATTTGCGGTTCACCAACATCTGCTGTTCTACAGCCACCACTGTTCTGCAGCCACTGCTGCTGATACCCAGGCAAACAGGGTCTGGAGTGGACCTCTAGCAAACTCCAACAGACCTGCAGCTGAGGGTCCTGTCTGTTAGAAGGAAAACTAACAAACAGAAAGGACATCCACACCAAAAACCCATCTGTACGTCACCATCATCAAAGACCAAAAGTAGACAAAACCACAAAGATGGGGAAAAAACAGAGCAGAAAAACTGGAAACTCTGAAAAGCAGAGCACCTCTCCTACTCCAAAGGAACGCAGCTCCTCACCAGCAACGGAACAAAGCTGGACGGAGAATGACTTTCACGAGCTGAGAGAAGAAGACTTCAGACGATCAAACTACTCCGAGCTACAGGAGGAAATTCAAACCAATGGCAAAGAAGTTAAAAACTTTGAAAAAAAATTAGATGAATGGATACCTAGAATAACCAATGGAGAGAAGTCCTTAAAGGAGCTGATGGAGCTGAAAGCCAAGGCTCGAGAACAACATGAAGAATGCAGAAGCCTCAGGAGCCGATGCGATCAACTGGAAGAAAGGGTATCAGTGATGGAAGATGAAATGAATGAAATGAAGCGAGAAGGGAAGTTTAGAGAAAAAAGAATAAAAAGAAATGAACAAAGCCTCCAAGAAATATGGGACTATGTGAAAAGACCAAATCTACATCTGATTGGTGTACCTGAAAGTGACGGGGAGAATGGAACCAAGTTGGAAAACACTCTGCAGGATATTATCCAGGAGAACTTCCCCAATCTAGCAAGGCAGGCCAACATTCAGATTCAGGAAATACAGAGAACGCCACAAAGGTACTCCTCGAGAAGAGCAACTCCAAGACACATAATTGTCAGATTCACCAAAGTTGAAATGAAGGAAAAAATGTTAAGGGCAGCCAGAGAGAAAGGTCGGGTTAACCACAAAGGGAAGCCCATCAGACTAACAGTGGATCTCTCGGCAGAAACTCTACAAGCCAGAAGAGAGTGGGGGCCAATATTCAACATTCTTAAAGAAAAGAATTTTCAACCCAGAATTTCATATCCAGCCAAACTAAGCTTCATAAGTGAAGGAGAAATAAAATACTTTACAGACAAGCAAATGCTGAGAGATTTTGTCACCACCAGGCCTGCCCTAAAAGAGCTCCTGAAGGAAGCACTAAACATGGAAAAGAACAACCAGTACCAGCCACTGCAAAAACATGCCAAAATGTAAAGACCATCGAGGCTAGGAAGAAACTGCATCAACTAACGAGCAAAATAATCAGCTAACATCATAATGACAGGACCAAATTCACACATAACAATATTAACTTTAAATGTAAATGGACTAAATGCTCCAATTAAAAGACACAGACTGGCAAATTGGATAAAGAGTCAAGACAAATCAGTGTGCTGTATTCAGGAAACCCATCTCACGTGCAGAGGCACACATAGGCTCAAAATAAAGGGATGGAGGAAGATCTACCAAGCAAATGGAAAACAAAAAAAGGCAGGGGTTGCAATCCTAGTCTCTGATAAAACAGACTTTAAACCAACAAAGATCAAAAGAGACAAAGAAGGCCATTACATAATGGTAAAGGGATCAATTCAACAAGAAGAGCTAACTATCCTAAATATATATGCACCCAATACAGGAGCACCCGGATTCATAAAGCAAGCCTTGAGTGACCTACAAAGAGACTTAGACTCCCACACAATAATAACGGGAGACTTTAACACCCCACTGTCAACATTAGACAGATCAACAAGACAGAAAGTTAACAAGCATACCCAGGAATTGAACTCAGCTCTGCACCAAGCAGACCTAATAGACATCTACAGAACTCTCCACCCCAAATCAACAGAATATACATTTTTTTCAGCACCACACCACGCCTATTCCAAAATTGGCCACATAGTTGGAAGTAAAGCACTCCTCAGCAAATGTAAAAGAACAGAAACTATAACTGTCTCTCAGACCACAGTGCAATCAAACTAGAACTCGGGATTAAGAAACTCACTCAAAACCGCTCGACTACATGGAAACTGAACAACCTGCTCCTGAATGACTACTGGGTACATAACAAAATGAAGGGAGAAATAAAGATGTTCTTTGAAACCAACGAGAACAAAGACACAACATACCAGAATCTCTGGGACACATTCAAAGCAGTGTGTAGAGGGAAATTTATAGCACTAAATGCCCACAAGAGAAAGCAGGAAAGATCCAAAATTGACACCCTAACATCACAATTAAAAGAACCAGAAAAGCAAGAGCAAACACATTCAAAAGCTAGCAGAAGGCAAGAAATAACTAAGATCAGAGCAGAACTGAAGGAAATAGAGACACAAAAAACCCTTCAAACAATTAATGAATCCAGCAGCTGGTTTTTTGAAAAGATCAACAAAATTGATAGACTGCTAGCAAGACTAATAAAGAAGAAAAGAGAGAAGAATCAAATAGATGCAATAAAAAATGATAAAGTGGATATCACCACCGATCCCACAGAAATACAAACTACCATCAGAGAATACTACAAAAACCTCTACACTAGAAAATAACTAGAAAATAAACTAGAAAATCTAGAAGAAATGGATAAATTCCTCGACACATACACCCTCCCAAGACTAAACCAGGAAGAAGCTGAATCCTGCATAGACCAATAACAGGCTCTGAAATTGTGGCAATAATCAATAGCTTACCAACCAAAAAAAGTCCAGGACCATATGGATTCACAGCCAAATTCTACCAGAAATACAAGGAGGAGCTGGTACCATTCCTTCTGAAAGTATTCCAATCAATAGAAAAAGAGGGAATCCTCCCTAACTCATTTTATGAGGCCAGCATCATCCTGATACCAAAGCCTGGCAGAGACACAACCAAAAAAGAGAATTTTAGACCAATAGCCTTGATGAACATTGATGCAAAAATCCTCAATAAAATACTGGAAACCGAATCCAGCAGCACATCAAAAAGCTTATCCACCATGATCAAGTGGGCTTCATCTCTGGGATGCAAGGCTGGTTCAACATACCCAAATCAATAAATGTAATCCAGCATATAAACAGAACCAAAGACAAAAACCACAAGATTATCTCAATAGATGCAGAAAAGGCCTTTGACAAAATTCAACAACGCTTCATGCTAAAAACTCTCAATCAATTAGGTATTGATGGGACGTATCTCAAAATAATAAGAGCTATCTATGACAAACCCACAGCCAATATCATACTGAATGGGCAAAAACTGGAAGCATTCCCTTTGAAAACTGGCACAAGACAGGGATGCCCTCTCTCACCACTCCTATTCAACATAGTGTGGGAAGTTCTGGCCAGGGCAATCAGGCAGGAGAAGGAAATAAAGGGTATTCAAATAAGAAAAGAGGAAGTCAAATTGTCCCTGTTTGCAGATGACATGATTGTATATCTAGAAAACCCCATTGTCTCTGCCCAAAATCTCCTTAAGCTGATAAGCAACTTCAGCAAAGTCTCAGGATACAAAAATCAATGTGCAAAAATCACAAGCATTCTTATACACCAATAACAGACAAACAGAGAGCCAAATCATGAGTGAACTCCCATTCACAATTGCTTCAAAGAGAATAAAATACCTAGGAATCCAACTTACAAGGGATGTGAAGGACCTCTTCAAGGAGAACTAGAAACCACTGTTCAATGAAATAAAGGAGGATACAAACAAATGGAAGAACATTCTATTCTCATGGGTAGGAAGAATCAATATCGTGAAAATGGCCATACTTCCCAAGGTAATTTATAGATTCAATGCCATCCCCATCAAGCTACCAATGACTTTCTTCACTGAATTGGAAAAAACTACTTTAAAGTTCATATGGAACCAAAAAAGAGCCCACATCACCAAGTCAATCCTAAGACAAAAGAACAAAGCCGGAGGCATCACGCTACCTGACTTCAAACTATACTACAAGGCTACAGTAAAAAAAAAAAATGGTACTGGTACCAAAACAGAGATATAGATCAATGGAACAGAACAGAGCCCTCAGAAATAATGCCGCATATCTACAACTATCTGATCTTTGACAAAGCTGACAGAAACAAGCAATGGGGAAAGGATTCCCTATTTAATAAATGGTGCTGGGAAAACTGGCTAGCCATAAGTATAAAGCTGAAACTGGATCCCTTCCTTACACCTTATACAAAAATTAATTAAAGATGGACTAAAGACTTACATGTTAGACCTAAAACCACCAAAACCCTAGAAGAAAACCTAGGCAATACCATTCAGGACATAGGCAGGGGCAAGGACTTCATGTCTAAAACACCAAAAGCAAGGCAACAAAAGCCAAAATTGACAAATGGGATCTAATTAAACTAAAGAGCTTCTGCACAGCAAAAGAAACTGCCATCAGAGTGAACAGGCAACCTACAAAATGGGAGAAAATTTTCACAACCTACTCATCTGACAAAGGGCTAATATCCAGAATCTACAATGAACTCAAACAAATTTACAAGAAAAAAACAAACAACCCCATCAAAAAGTGGGTGAAGGATATGAACAGACACTTCTCAAAAGAAGACATTTATGCAGCCAAAAAACACATGAAAAAATGCTCACCATCACTGGCCACCAGAGAAATGCAAATCAAAACCACAATGAGATACCATCTCACACCAGTTAGAATGGCGATCATTAAAATGTCAGGAAACAACAGGTGCTGGAGAGGATATGGAGAAATAGGAACACTTTTACACTGTTGGTGGGACTGTAAACTAGGTCAACCATTGTGGATGTCAGTGTGGCGATTCCTTAGGGATCTAGAACTAGAAATACCATTTGACTCATTCATGCCATTACTGGGTATATACCCGAAGGATTATAAATCATGCAGCTATAAAGACACATGCACAGATATGTTTATTGTGGCACTATTCACAATAGCAAAGACTTGGAACCAACCCAAATGTCCAACAATGATAGACTGGATTAAGAAAATGTGGCACATATACACCATGGAATACTATGCAGCAATAAAAAAGGATGAGTTCATGTCCTTTGTAGAGACATGGATGAAGCTGGAAACCATCATTCTCAGCAAACTATGGCAAGGACAAAAAAACCAAACACCGCATGTTCTCACTCATAGGTGGGAATTGAACAATGAGAACACATGGACACAGGAAGGGGAACATCACACTCCAGGGACTGTTGTGGGGTGGGGGGAGGGGGGAGGGATAGCATTTGGAGATATACCTAATGCTAAATGACGAGTTAATGGGTGCAGCACAGCAACATGGCACATGTATACATATGTAACAAACCTGCACATTTTGCACATGTACCCTAAAACTTAAAGTATAATAATAATAAAATAAAATAAAATAAAATAAAATAAACACATTTGTGACCTTCTAATTTTTTACCTCCAGAAGGGGAGCAATCTGACAGCCTTTTTCCTGTCCCTGCTGGTTGTCACGGGCCCAGCAAATAAGGTCTGAACCAGCCAGAGAAACGAGGAATTGTCTGTACTACAAAGGTGGAGAGGGTAACTGGCACTGCTATTGACTAATGATGAAGAAGGACAGGGTAGGAATGAATGACAGTGGGAAAATCTGGGAGTGGCAATGTCACATGTATTCCAGAGGTTCTGAGTGTCAGAGCACCTTGCCACAGCCCAGCAGAGTCACGACATGGAAACATGTGAGGTGAGAGGAACTGGCCTTGGGATTGTGTTTAAAATCCTTCCTTCCTTCTGAGGTAAAGTTATTCATTCACTCAGCAAATATTTATTTAGTGGTTACTATATGCTAGACACCCTTCCTGGCAATGGGGTAAACTACTTGCCTTCAAGCAGCTTACCTTCACATAGGAAATAAAGAACAAATGTTGCTTTTTAACATGAAGTGCTGTGAAGAAAATTAATCTAGTGATCTGGCAAGATGGCCAAATAGGAACAGCTCCAGTCTGCAGCTCCCAGGGAGACCAATGAAGAAGGTGTGCGATTTCTGCATTTCCAACTGAGGTACCCAATTCATCTCACTGAGACTGATTAGATAGTGGGTGCAGCCCAGAGAGGGAGAGCAGAAGCAGGGTGGGGCATTGCCTAACCTGGGAAGTACAAGGGGCCGGGGAACTCCCACCCCAAGCCAAGGGAAGCTGTGAGGGACTGTGCCGTGAGGGATGGTGCTATCTGGCCCAGATACTATGCTTTTCCCATGGTCTTTGCAACCCTCAGACCAGTAGATTCCCTCGGGTGCCTACACCACCTGGGCCCTGAGTTTCAAGCACAAAACTGAGTGGCTGTTTGGGCAGACACCGAGCTATCTGCGGTTTTTTTTTCATACCCTAGTGGCGCCCGGAACCCCAGTGAGACAAAACCATTCAGTCCCCTGGAAAGGGGGCTGAAGCCATGGAGCCAAGTGGTCTTGCCCAGCGGGTCCCACCCCCACAGAGTCCAGCAAGCTAAGATCCACTGGCTTGAAATTCTCACTGCTAGCACAGAAGTCTGAAGTCAATCTGGGACACTTGAGCTTGGTGGGGGCAGGGGGATCCACCATTACTGAGGCTTGAGTAAGCAGTTTTCCCCTCACAGTATAAACGAAGATACCAGGAAGTTCAGACTGGGTGGAACCCACCACAGTGCAGCAAAGCCACTGTAGCCAGACTGCCTCTCTAGATTCCTCCTCACTGAGCAGGGCATCTCTGAAAGAAAGACCCTAGCCCCAATCAGGGGCTTACAGATAAAACTCCCATCTCTCTGGGACAGAACAGCTGGGGGAAGGGGCAGCTGTGAGCGCAGCTTCAGCAGACAAACATTCCTGCCTGCCAGCTCTGAAGAGAGTAGCAGATCTCCCAGCACAGCACGTGAGCTCTGCTAAGGGACAGACTGCCTCCTCAAGTGGGTTCCTGACCCCTGTGCTTCCTGACTGGGCGACACCTCACAGCAGGAGCCAACAGATACCTCACACAGGAGAGCTCTGGCTGGCATCCGGTGGGTGCCCCTCTGGGATGAAGCTTCCAGAAGAAGGAGCAGGCAGCAATTTTTGCTGTTCTGCAGCCTCTGCTGGTGAAATCCAGGCAAACAGGGCCTGGAGTAGATCTCCAGCAAACTCCAGCAGACCTGCAGAAGAGGGGCCTGTTAGAAGGAAAACTGACAAACAGAAAGCAACGACATCAACATCAACAAAAAGGATGACCATGCAAAAACCCCATCCAAAGGTCATCAGCATCAAAGATCAAAGGTAGATAAATCCACAAAGATGACAAAAAACCAGCACAAAAATGCTGAAAATTTCAAAAACCAGAATGCCTCTTTTCCTCCAAAGGATCACAACTCATCACCAGTAAGGGAACAAAACTAGACAGAGAATAAGTTTGATGAATTGACAGAAGTTGGCTTCAGAAGGTGGGTAACAACAAACTCCTCTGAGCTAAAGGAGCATGTTCTAACTCAATGCAAGGAAGCTAAGAATCTTGATAAAGGTTAGAGGAATTGCTAACTAGAATAACCAGTTTAGAGAAGAACATAAATGATCTAATGGAGCTGAAAAACACAGCATGAGAACTTTGTGAAGCATACACAAGTATCGATAGCTGAATTGATCAAGCAGAAGAAAGGATATCAGAGATCAAAGATCAATTTAATGAAATAAAGTGTGAAGACAAGATAAGAGAAAAAAGAATGAAAAGAAACGAACAAAGCCTCCAAGAAATATGGGACTATGTGAAAAGACCAAACCTACATTTGATAGGTGTACCTGAAAGTGAGCAGGAAAATGGAACCAAGTTGGAAAACACACTTTAGGAGAATTTCCCCAACCTAGAAATACAGGCCAACATTCAAATTCAGGAACTGCAGAGAACACCACAAAGATACTCCTCAAGAAGAGCAACCCCAAGACACATAATCACCAGATTCACCAAGGCTGAAATGAAGGAAAAAATGTTAACAGCAGCCAGAAAGAAACATCAGGTTACCTACAAAAGGAAGCCTATCAGACTAAAAGCAGATCGCTCTGCAGAAGTCCCACAAGCTGGAAGAGAGTGGGACCAATATTCAACATTCTTAAAGAAAAGAATTTTCAACCCAGAATTTCATATCCAGCCAAACTAAGCTTCACAAGTGAAGGAGAAATAAAACCCTTAACAGGCAAGCAAATGCTGAAGAATTTTGCCGCCATCAGTCCTGCCTTACAAGAACTCCTTAAGGAAGCACTAAATATGGAAAGGAAAAACTGGTACCAGCCACTGCAAAAACATACCAAAATATAAAGACCAATGACATTATGAATAAACTGCATCAATCAATGTGCAAAATAACCAGCTAGCATAATGGTGACAGGATCAAATTCATACATACCAATATTAACCTTAAATGTAAATGGGCTAAATGCCTCAATTAAAAGACACAGACTGGCAAATTGGATGAAGAGTCAAGACTCATTGGTGTGCTGTATTCAGGAGACCCATCTCACATGCAAAGACATACATAGGCTCAAAATAAAGGGACATAAAAAAAAAGCAGGGGTTGCAATCCTAGTCTCTAATAAAACAGACTTTAAACCAACAAAGATCAAAAAAGACAAAGAAGGGCATTACATAGTGGTAATAGGATCAATGCAACAAGAAGAGCTAACTGCCCTAAATATATATGCACCCAATACTGGATCACCCAGATTCATAAAGCAAGTTCTTAGAGACCTACAAAGAGACTCAGACTCCCACACAATAATAGTGGGAGCCTTTAACACCCCACTGTCAACATTAGATCAATGAGACAGAAAATTAACAAGATTATTCAGGACTTGAACTCAGCTCTGGAACAAGTGGACCTAATAGACAGAAGTCTCCACCCCACATTTGCAGAATATACATTCTTCGCAGCACCACTTAGCATTTATTCTAAAATTGACCACATAATTGGAAGTAAAACACTCCTCAGCAAATGCAAAAGAACAGAAATCGTAACAGTCTCTCAGACCACAGTACAATCAAATTACAACTCAGGATTAAGAAACTCACTGAAAACCACACAACTACAAGGAAACTGAACAACCTGCTCCTGAATGACTACTGGGTAAATAACAAAGTTAAGGCAGAAATAAATAAGTTCTTTGAAACCAATGAGAACAAAGACACAACATACCAGAATCTCTGGGACACAGCTAAAGCAGTGTTTAGAAGGAAATGTATAGCACTAAATGCCCACATCAGAAAGCAAGAAAGATCTAAAATTGACACCCTAACATCAAACTAAAGGAACTAGAGAAGCAAGAGCAAACAAATTCAAAAGCTAGCAGAAGGCAAGAAATAACTAAGATTAGAGCAGAAGTGAAGGAGACAGAGACACAAAAAACCCTTCAAAATATCAATGAATCCAGGAGCCAGTTTTTTGAAAAGATTAACAAAATAGGTAGACCACTAGCCAGGCTAATAAAGAAGAAAAGAGAGAAGAATCAAATAGCCACAATAAAAAATGATAAAGTGGATACCACCACGAATCCCACAGAAATACAAATTACCATCAAAGAATACTATAAACACCTCTATGCAAATAAACTAGAAAATCTAGAAGAAATTGATAAATTCCTGGACACATACAGCCTCCCAAGTCTAAACCAGGAAGAAGCCAAATCCCTGAATAGACCAATAACAAGTTCTGAAATTGAGGCAGTAATTAATAGCCTACCAACAAAAAAAGCCCAGGACCAGATGAATTCACAGCTGAATTCTACAAGAGGTACAAAGAGGAGCTGGTACCATTCCTTCTGAAACTATTCCAAACAAAAGAAAAAGAAGAACTCCTCCCTAATTCATTTTATGAGGCCAACATCATCCTGATACCAAAATCTGGCAGAAACACAACAAAAAAAGGAAATTTTAGGCTAATATCCCTGATGAACATTGATGCGAAAATCCTCAATAAAATACTGGCAAACCGAAACCAGCAGCATATTAAAAAGCTTATCCACCACGATCAAGTCAGCTTCATCCCTCGGATGTAAGGCTGGTTCAACATATGCAAATCAATAAATGTAATCCATCACATAAACAGAACCAATGACAAAAACCACATGATTATCTCTATAGATGCAGAAAAGGCCTTCAGTAAAATTCAACACCGCTTCATGCTAAAAACATTCAATAAACTAGGTATTGATGGAACATATCTCACAATAATAAGAGCTATTTATGACAAACCCATAGCCAATATCATACTGAATGGGTAAAACTGGAAGCATTCCCTTTGAAAACTGGCACAAGACAAAGATGCCCTCTCTCACCACTCCTATTCAACATAGTATTGGAAGTTTAGGCCAGGACAATCAGGCAAGAGAAAGAAATAAAGCGTATTCAAATAGGAAGAGAGGAAGTCAAATTGTCTCTGTTTGCAGATGACATGATTGTATATTTAGCAAACCCCATCATCTCAGCCCCAAAACTCCTTAAGCTGATAAGCGACTTCCGCAGTCTCAGGATACAAAATAAATGTGCAAAAATCACAAGCTTTCTTATACCCAAAAATAGACAAACAGAGAGCCCAATCATGAGTGAACTCCCATTTACAATTGCTACAAAGAGAATATAATACCTAGGAATACAACTTACAAGGGACGTGAAGGACCTCTTCAAGGAGAACTACAAACCATTGCTCAAGGAAATAAAAGAGGACACAAACAAATGACAAAACATTCCATGTTCATTGATAGGAAGAATCAATAATGTGCAGATGGCTATACTGCCCAGAGTAATTTATGGATTCAATGCTATTCCCATCAAGCTACCACTGACTTTCTTCAGAGAATTAGAAAAAAACTACTTTAAATTTCATATGGAACCAAAAAAGAGCCCACATAGCCAAGACAATCCTAAGCAAAAACAACAAAGCTGGAGGCATCATGCTACCTGACTTCAAACTATACTGCAAGTCTACCATAACCAAAACAGTATGGTACTGATACCAAAACAGATATATAGACCAATGAAACAGAACAGAGGCCTCAGAAATAATGCCATACATCTATAACCATCTGATCTTTGACAAACCTGACAAAGACAAGCAATAGGGAAAGGGTTCCATATTAAATAAACGGTGTTGGGAAAACTGGCTAGCCATATGCAGAAAACTGAAATTGCACCCCTTCGTTATACCTTCTACAAAAATTAACTCAAGATGGATTAAGACTTAAACATAAAACCCAAAACCATAAAAACTCTAGAAGAAAACCTAGGTAATACCATTCAGGACACAGGCATGGTCAAAGACTTCATGACTAAAACACCAAAAGCAGTGGCAACAATAGTTAAAATTGACAAATGGTATCTAATTAAATTAAAGAGCTTCTGCACAGCAAAAGAAACTACCATCAGAGTGAAGAGGCAATCTACAGAATGAGAGAAAATTTGTGCAATCTATTCATCTGACAAAGATCTAATATCCAGAATCTACAAGGAACTTGAACAAATTTACAAGAAAAAAAAAACCCATCTAAAAGTGGGCAAAGGATATGAACAGACACGTCTCAAAAGAAGATGTTTATGTGGCCAACAAACATACGAAAACAAGTTCATCATCATTGGTCATTAGAGAAATGCAAATCAAAACCACAATGAGATACCATCTTATGGCAGTTAGAATGGCCATCGTTAAAAAGTCAGGAAAAAACAGATGCTGGAGAGGATGTGGAAAAATAGAAATACTTTTACATTGTTAGTGGGAGTGTAAATTTGTTCAACCATTGTGAAGACAGTCTGTCAATTCCTCAAGGATCTAGAACTAGAAATGCCATTTCATCCAACAATCCCATTACTGGGTATATACTCAAAGGATTATAAATCATTCTACTATAAAGACACATGCATATGTATGTTTATTGCAGCACTGTTCACAATAGCAAAGACTTGGAACCAACCCAAATGCCCATCAATGATAGACTGGATAAAGAAAGTGTGGCACATATACATCATGGAATACTATGCAGACATAAAAAAGGATGAGTTCATGTCCTTTGCAGGGACATGGATGAAGCTGGAAACCATCATTCTCAGCAAACTAACAGGAACAGAAAACCAAACACTGCATTTTCTCACTCATAAATGGGAGTTGAACAATGAGAACACATGGACACAGGGAGGGGAACATCACACACTGGTGCCTGTCAGGCGGTGCAGGGCAAGGAGAGGGATAGCATTGGGACAAATACCTAATGCATGTGGGGCTTAAAACCTAGATAACGGGTTGATGAGTGCAGCAAACCACCATGGCACATGTATACCTACATAACAAACCTGCACATTCTGCACATGTATCCCAGAACTTAGAGTATAATTTAAAAAAAGAAAATTAATCTAAATAAGGAAATGGAGATGGGGGTCTAAAAAGGCCTGAGGAGGTGACATCTGAAGAAAGACGAGGAAGAAATAATGAGGCCAGTGTGAAGGTCATGATGAGCATTATAGAGACAAAGAAAATTAAGGAAGTAGAGGCAGAAATGAATGCAGAGCCTGGGTTGGGGAAGCAGCACAATCAACAGAGAGGTTGTGGGAGAAAAGAGAACACAGGTGACTGGGGGCAGGTAATGGAGGGTTTGGGTTTTATTCCAAAGGGGAATGACATGATCGGGTTTATATCATTTAAAGATAATTGTAGTTACTGTGTTGAGAATTTATGGAATGTGAACAAAGGTGGAAGAGGCACACGAGTTAGGAGGCTGCTGCACCAGTCCAGCCTGGAGGTGGATGTACCATGGATTAGGGTAATAGCTATGCACATGATTAGAAGTGGTCATATTCAGGATATAATTTGAAGGCAGAGATAATAAAGTCTTCTGATGAATTAGATGTAGTATGTGAGAGAAAGAGTATTAAAGATGACTCCTTGGTCCTGCATCAGCACTACTGGATGAGTGATGGTGCCATTGTGATGGAAAAATCTGGGGAAGAATACAGTTGAGAAGGTAGAAATTGAGGTTCCGTTTTGCCTTGTTTTTTTTTTTTTTTCTGAGACAGAGTCCCACTCTGTCACCCAGGCTGGAGGCAGGGGCATGATCTCAGCTCTTTGAAACCTCCACCTCCCGGGTTCAAGCAATTCTCCTGCCTCAGCCTCCTGAATTGCTGGGACTACAGGTGCACACCACCAAGGCTTGCTACATTTTTTTTTTGTATTTTTAGTAGAGATAGGGCTTCACCATATTGGTCACGCTGGTCTTGAATTCCTGACCTCAGGTGATCTACCCTCCTCGGCCTCCCAAAGTGCTGGGATTACAGGCATGAGCCACCGTGCCCAGCCTTGCATATGTTTAATAGAGCTAACTTTTAGGCATCCAAGCTAAGATGTGTGTGTAGCTCAGGTGAGCGATTTGGACAGATGACATGAATTTGAGGGTCATCTGTAAAGAACTGTAATTTAAAGCTATGACACTACACAGGATCTGCGGAATGAGGGTAGATCCAGAAGAGGAAACAGCCAGGATCTGAGCCTGGGGCATTCCTGCATTTAGTCAGAGAGAGAAGGCAAGAAGGTATGAGAGGAACTCAGAAAAGGAAGACAATGGAAGACAGAGTTCAGACGCTGCCAAGAGATGAAGATGAGGACTGGGAATTGGCCTTGGGAGTTGGCAAGATGGGGGCTGCTGACTTTAGGAAAAATATTTCATGTAAGGGTCGACCAAACACGATAGGAGCGGGTTCAAGAGAGAAAGGGAGAAGAGGAAGTGGGGATATCAAGGACAGACCAACATTTTAGGGAGTTTATTGTAGAGGGAAGTAGAGAAGTGGGGCAGTGGTAGAGGGAGGTGTCGGTCTAAGTCAATATTTTTTCTTTTCCTTTCTTTTTGCAACAGAAGTAGAGGGAGGATCAGTTCTCCTCACTCCTATCACAATGCACTTTCCATCTGACCACATGGATTCTCACTTCATTTGAACTGAGATGAGAAATTATGATGAACTTCACAGTTGGAAGAGTATTTGTTAAAATGGGTGGTATTGCAGCACACTTATACACTGATGGGAAAAAAAACCCTAGTAGAGCTGGAGAAATTATGGATGACATAGGACAGGAATTGACAAACAATTGTTGCAGGACAAATCCGGACTTCTGCCTACTTTTAAAAGTAAATTTTATTGAAACATAGTGACAGATATCATGAGACTTACAATTCCTAAAATACGTATTATCTAGTCTTTTACAGAAAAAGCATGCTGACCCCCGATATAGGAGGTCAGGGGAAATTAGAGGAACGGTGGACTTGAAGAGATTAAGAGAGATGAGATTCAGGGTACAAGTGGAAGCACTGGCCTTAACTACAAGCAAGGACACCTCCCCTCTGTAACTGGAGAAGGCAGGTATGGTATACAAATCACATATTAGTGAATCTGGAGGTGCTTCTTCAGGTTGTTTTCTTCACATTATTTATATTTTTTCCTTTAAATAAGAAGTGAAGTCATTTATTGAGAGTGTGGAGGGAAGAAAGTGTTGGATCTGAAAATATGAGAAATGCATTTAATAGCACCAAGGCAAGGGAAGGTGATGAGAAGAAACATCATATCCAATCATGCAACAAAGAGTATATATCTGCATAGATCTTCCTTCACTGGAGAAATTGCAAATTAAAATACATTAACATGGGACCTCACACAATCACTAAAGATCAAGAGGAAAGAAATATTCTCACCAAGATTTCAAGAAGAAAACAAATGGAAACTAATAATTTGAGATATTAACATCTAGCAAAACTTAAAATGTGTGTTCTCAATGACTGAGTAATCACATTTTCAGATAATACTCCTTAAATGTGTAAACATAAGTAAATAGATAAATAGCCTAATTCAAACACTTTTACTGCAGTCCTCCTAGAAAGAAAACAAACTTGATAACAACCCATATTTTCATAGCAGTGGTACAGCCAAATTAATCCTGGTATATTTATATAATGGAGCTCAGTATATATGTAGATCTTGAAAACATCATGTTGAGAAGCATTCAATTTGAAAAATATTATGTACAGTAAATCATTTATGTAAAATTTACTTACACAAAACAATGTTGTTTATTAATATATATTTAGTAAACATATAAAACCTGACTCACAAAATTCATGACAGCATTTCACTCTGAGGAGAGAAGAATAAAAAGAAAAAACCAGGGAAAGGCTGATAGAGAACTCAATTTATTGGTAATAGTTTACTTCTTTAAAAATCAAATGAAATATGACATATTAATATTTGCTAATTCTGGATGGGAAGTACATGGGTATTTATCTTATCCTTTTTAAAAACTTTTTTATCTTTAGTTATTCGAAATAAAAAATAAATTATAACAGTTTATAAAATTTTGAAAAAACACAAAAACAGGAGCTGAGATAGGTTAACAGGATGAGAATCACCATTATAAAAAGCTCACCAGCCTGGACAACACGGCGAAACTCAGTCTTTATGAAAAAGTACACACACACACACACACACAAAAAAAAAAAAAAAAAAAAAAAAAAAAAACCCAACCAGCCATGGTGGCATGCACCTGTAATCCCAGGTGCATCTACTCGGGAGGCTGAGGTGGGAGGATTGCTTGAGCCCAGGATGTCAAGGCTGCAGTGAGCCGAGATCGCACCTCTGCACTCCAGCCTGGGTGACAGTGTAAGACCCTGTCTCAAAATAATAATGATAACAATCACCATCATCATCATCATCCCATTATCTCAGTGGTCAGGGATGCTGCCGCGAGTAAAGTACAAAGCCCTTCACCCTTTGCTTCCTACTTAGGGGCGTGCAGCCTGAGTCCCAGAATGGATTTCCTCTCCTCCCTATCACCTAGCTGGCTCCCCCTCATCCTTCATCTCTCAGTTTATAAATCATCCTCTCTAGGAAGCCTTTCCTATTTTGTAAAAGTGAGTTATACTTCCCTCCTTTGTACTTGAAAAGTTCTCTTTGTACCTCAACCTTGCAGCATTCATCACTCTAGTATAATTTCTTGTTTACTTGTTTGTCTCCCCTCTGAGATTGCTGGCTTCTGAGGGGAGGGGCTGTGTGGGATCCAGCGTTTCAGCTCCAGCTGGCATAGTTCCTAGCCCTGAGTACACGTGTCCTACATTTTTGCTGAATTTTGTAGCTTCCTGGCCCAGAGTACTGCAGAGGGCAGCATGAGGGTACTGAATGCCTGAAGATCCCAGCGGGAAAAAAGGCAAGACAAACCATCCACTGAAAACCCTTTGCTGGAGCTGGACTTGCATTTCAGAATCAACATCTAAAACTGATTTTCATGAGAAAAAAAAAAGTAGACTCATTTCATTTTTAAAAAGCAGCTGATCTTCAGTCTTGCTTTTTTTCCTTGTTTTATCTAAACACACAAGTAGGGAAAATTGGTTCAGAAATGATTCAAAATTGGATTTTTCTTTCACAGCCACCACTCAAAATCACCCACTTAAACCATTTTTCCTCATAAAAAAAAATCCAAGGCTCAGCCGTATGGAAAACATCCTAATAGACATTTTTCTGTTGTTGACATTTTTCTGTTGTTGCCATCTTGTCCAATTTTGGAAAACGTAGAAACCACATCAAACCTACCTATTTCAGTAAGGAGGAAAAGACGAGGGTGGGACGGGTGGGTAATGCGTGTTGCATAGAGTGAAACCACACCTCCCATGAACTTTGACCTTAGCCCATCCCTACTTTTAGAATCATGACTTAATATTGATGCCCCTTGGCTTCAGAGCTGTTGGTCAGAACACGTCAAAGGCAGGAGCCCCATCCCCTCTGATTTTTGAGGAGCGCAACGTTTCTGGGACTTAACCTGAATGGTGGGTAGCACAGTTGTTCCCGAGTGTTCACTGCCCCTTCCCCCACTCGGTTTGCCCCTGCCACGTGACTTGCAGAGTCCCCAGTTGGAGGAGAGGGGGAGTGTGCTGCTCTGCGCTGCCGTATTGACAGCAGCTTGGCTAAGGGACCTGCTTTGGCCAATGAAATGAGACCGGAAGCGAAAGTGTGTGTTCCTAGCAGAAGGTGTTAAGAGGCATTGTGGCTTCCCCACAGCGATCTTGCTCTCTTTGCCCTCTATCAAGAGAATGGCATGCTCCAGACAGAGGCTGCGCTTGTAGCCTGAATTCCAGAATGAAGGAGACCAATGGTGCCAACTTGCAGCTGATAGTGTGAGCAAGGAGGGAAAACAACAACAACAAAAACCCTTTCTTTTTGAAGCCACTAAGCTTTTAGTGTTGTTGGCTACCGTGGCATAACCTACTGAAAGATGACAGATAGTGAGTTTAATAATAATAATAAACTAAACTGTGCCCCACACAGAAAGCACCAGGGTGCGGCTCAGCGGCTTCTGTGGAAGGTGGGAGGGAACTGTGCCCGGAGTTGGCCTCTTTTCTTCTGCAAGCCCACGTGTAGTGAATGTTCTGTTTCTGGTACACAAGCCGACAAAAAGCCTTTTGATTTTTTTTTTTTTCATCCCAAAGACCCAGAATTTTCTGAGTCTAAGACAAGCTGCCGTGTTCCACTGAACTTCCCAGGGAGAACTTTGCTGTTTGGGCAGAGCAGATTGTTTCCTATCTTTCCAGTCTCATTGGTTGGAAGTGCTAGAATTTCCCAAATTAAAGTGTTTTTCCCCCTGTTGATTTTGCCATTAGCGACAACAGCAGCTTCTCTAGGAAGTTGGAAAACCTTTCATAAAATATTTCCAGAATGTGGGTGTAGCCTAGAGCCTGCCTGTGGTTATCTTATTTCAGAGGAGCAAGACAAGAGTTTCACAGTTGCAGAGAAAAAAACAACAGCGTTTCATGGAAACATGGTGCTCAGCAGGGGTGTTGCTCTGAAGGAAAGAAATTCGACTAGAGAAAGTGATTAAAATGCTCTATTAACACTGGAAATGTAGAATAAACTGGATATTGCATCCATTTGGTTTTAGCGCATTCAATACATGACGTTATTTCAGCTCACAAAAGAGCATTCTGTACATAAAAATAATTCCCTTTCAATACCAAATGTACACGCTGTTGAGAATTCAACATGCCATTCTTATTTGCTATTATCATAGGTCACGACAGTGCCTCTAACTTACTATGTGACCTGGGATAAGTCATATCTCCTCTTTGTGTATCCATGTTCTCCTCTATCAAATGAACTGAGGATGTTTGGTTTAATTATTTCTGAGGTCCCTTGTCACATTTTAACAATAGAAATCTTGCTGCTTCTGTGTACATTTGGTCATTTGAATCTGCTAGTTTTGAATCATCTGCTAGTTTTCATTTGAATCTGCTAGTTTCCTTGAGCCAGTTTTACTACTTCTTTATTATTACTATTTATTGATATGCGGGCTTTGAAAGTAGGTATTTTCTCTTATTTAACAGTTGCTGTTATATTGAAACCTGATATTGATTGTCCCTAAAATGATATTTCTAATTTGTAGATTTTCTTAACAAAAATTCAGAATACAGAGTTGCAGAATCTAAAAGGGATGGGGTGGGGTGGGGAGGGGATGAGGTTTTTCTTCTGCCTGAAGATGGCAAGTGAGTTAATCCATGTTTCCAAAGAAAATAATCATAAAGCTACTCTTAAGAGAATTTCAGCATCTGTCCTGCATCATAAGGCAAGAGTGTTGATTTCCAATGTGCTCCCAGAGTCTATTCTTCATAAGCCAGGACCTAAGCAACAGAAGTTGGTGGTGTGATAGCGACCTCTCTGTTGGTGAATAAAGGGAAGGAAGTAAAATCAGTCACATCAGCATCAACATAGCTGCATGTGGCAGGGCTGAGAAAGGCTCTCTAAGCTTGCAGGTCATTTGATTCATGATCTGTCACACGGTAGATGCCTCAAGCCTTCAGAAGAAGTGTGTGCTGCACATATAGTCAATGGCCAGTGTTGAATCTCTCCTGGAAGGTAAAATGACTTGTCCCATGAGCAGCCTTCCTCCCAAATAATTCCAGAATGGGCAAGGGCATTAACTCATCTTATCCAAATGTCTCCGACTTTTCTCCACTGAGTTAACATAAACATTCTTGTTAATATTTCCAAATGAGAAAAAAAGAGATCTCAAAGATAAAATATTGATGGGATACCAAGTTTAGAGAGGCTTTGCAGATACAGACATTCTCATACACTGTTGGTATAAGCTTAAATTGGCACCTCTTTCAAGAGGGTAACTTGGTAACATAGAACACAGCTATAAACGCATAAAATAATTCCATTTCTATTAGTTATCCCACAGTTACCTCTAGAGGGTGCACAGATGTTTATGGCATAATTGTTTATAATAGCAAAATCTAGACACAACTTTTAGAACACACTGAATTTGAGTAAGTAGGGGATGAGTTAAATAAATTATGGCCCATCTATACAATGGAATACATACAGCCACTTAGAAAACAAAATGAATCTACATGTGCTAGCAGCAAAAGATGTTCCATATGTACTAATTTTAAAAGGCATATTGCAGATCTTGTTTTCTACATGTATATATGAATTCATTCACATAATTATATAAATACATGCAAAATTGTATATGCATTAGAAAATATTTAAAAAGTATACTCAAGAAATTATTAATAGCAGTTATTGCTGAAGAATGGGAAGAGATGGAGTGGAAAGGGAGAATGGTTTTACTTTTCTACAGAACAATTTCAAATTTCAATGCTCATGCATTACTTTTATATAAAAAGATTTTCAAAGTAAAAAACTAGAAACACCTAAAAAATAAGAAAGAGGAAATGATGAAATAAATTATGGCGCAATCATAAAATGTAATACTAACCAACCATTAAAAATTATTTCCTACAGTTCTACTTGCTGACAGAAAAATGTGATATATTGGTAAATTTTCAAGGCAGTTTACAAAACAAAAAGAGAAAGAGGGTGAGCCTGATAAGCACCGGAGCCCCTTAGGGGTGCATTCCAAGTCATGGTCTTTGTCACACCAGTGCCAGCACAGTGCCCAGCACACCCGTCAAGAAAGGACTGCTCATTTGATGCTCGCACATGCCTGCACCTGCACATGCTATGGGCTTACATTGCTGATGGCTGACCCTCGCAACAAGCTCATTTATCCCATTTTACAAGCAGAAGATTGAAGAAGATTAGGGAGAGTGTTTTAACTAGCGAAGCTTGAATCCGAACCTAGATTTGTCTTTTCAAACAGGAATATTTGTGAGACAATTAATCAACACATCAAAAAACATTCGAATGAACTGCAGAAAGATTATAGGACTACACTTGAGTTAGTACAAGAGTGAATGTGGAACTCATAATTCAGGAAGAGATCATTACCTTATCGAAACACCTGAGCAGTGAGGGGGCATGGTCTTTAGACCAGGTATTGAGTTCCTGATTTCTTGACTTCAGGTATATAACTGGAAATAAATATTGAAAGGATCATTAATAATCACATAGTTCACTGTTTTTCAAACTATAAGTTTTAACCCATTAGTGGAGTCATGAAATCAATATTGGTGTGTTGAAATTAAGACTTTTAAAAAATAGTAAACTGGAACAGAATGGAATAGAGACAATATTCAAGTGTAATATAATAATGAATACTGTGAAGGTCTATATCTTTTTGTGAAATGTATTTCAGTTGCATTTTTATATACATTAGAAATATGTGCATTGAGTCACACTACAAACTATTAGGATGAATGGCAGCCAGAAATGTTTTAAAACCCCTGATTCAATGTCTACTCCTTCACCAGTTGGTGACCCTGAGGTCTGGCGGGATTAGGTGGCTCCTTTAGGCCATAGTGTCTTTGCCTGCAGAACCTGGCTCCATATTGTGCTTCCCATGTACATTTTGTGTTTTAATGTTCCCATCTTTCAAATGGGGCTAATTTTGAGCTCACCTTTCTGACAGGGCCATTAGGGGAATGAAATTATCTTAAAATGCTTTGAAAAGATAAAACCTATAAATATGGAAACTCTACCCCATAAGACTTGCCGTGCTATTAATACAGGATGAGCTGCTGGGCTCTGGCAGGATCCAAAGTCACTGGCTCAGCGTCAGACAAACAGAGCAGGTTTCATGACCTGGAGAGTGAGAATTCCAGGTCCACATATGCTGACAGCTTAGAAAAAATGTTTCCAATCCCTAAATGGCTCACAGGTAGAGAGGAAAGCATGTGGCACAGGACCAGCAATGCAACATGGCAATGAGTACTTACAGAGCATTCCACATCACTGTCCTCCAAACGCCTGAAAGCAATTCCCTTTCAACTGCAATCCTTGCTCTATCTGCAACCCTTTAGCCTCAACAGGTGTACTAAATTGATAAGAAAGTTGCAATTGTGATTCACCTTAATGCTTTTTCCAGTGCCTTACTCTACTCAGTTTCATGCTGAGTAAAAACTTGCTTTTCTTTAGTCTACCAATGTACCATTTTATTACAGAAGTACAAAATTTTCTCCCCTCAGGAGCATAAGGAATGCCCTCCCCTTCTCCATCTCAAGATGTAAACATTTCATTCCTCTCTGGCCCTTAACTATGATCACTTGTGCTACGAATCCTTTTGGCTTGTGCTGAGGGGCCCGTGATGACCCAATTAACAGGGCTCTTTATGGAAGGTTTAATATCAGGCACTCCACATGCATAGTCAAAACACTGTGGCTGGATATCAGATATCCCAAGACAAGAAACAGAACAAGGCTAAGAAGTAGATGTTGTGAGATTGCTAAGTTTCCAACTTTTGTTGGGTTTTGCCACCTTTGGTTTGGTGTGGTCTGGGCATGGGCAGTACTAAAGATATCCTTAGAGGGATACAGGGAAAAAATAACACCAAAAACGCAGTACCTTTTTGCAGTTGTTGATCCCTTTTTTTTTAACCTAAATTACTCATTTGCTCATTACAACTGGTTTGATTTAGGTGTGCTTCTTTTTATCTTACCTTGTTTTGGTCCCACTAGGATTGGCCTGAGCTGGAATGTTCGTTTCTTGATTTGGAATTCCATTTCTAATCCTTGCTTATTCATTTGCTCAAAGAACAGCCCAAACACCTTGACACATTAATTTCTAAGGAAAGCTTTGCCTGCATCCACCAGGTTCTGAAGGATTGCTGTGCATGGACTACGGGGGTAGCTATGGAGCTAGGAAGGTCTGTGTTTGTATCTGAATTTTCTCTGCCATTTATGGTCTTTCCATAGGATCCAAGCTTTCTCCTCTCTATTCTCATGGAAGACATTTTAAATCTATGCTTAGTGTTTAGTCTGAAAAGGATTTTCCACTGGACAGAAGCCGTGGCATCATGACAATTCCTGTGTAAAATTAAACATACCCCAGCCATAACTGCAAGCTGCAGTCCTCTGGCATTGACACTAGATCACTTATTTTTCAATAAGGTACAGGATAGGGATAATCAGTCCACACCAAAAGAGTCACATTGGGTCCCTTGCTATTCTAATCCATTTCTCTACAATCTGAAATGTCAAACAGTTTGGTAAACTTCAACCTAAATCAGTTGACAGTACTATAGGTTTATCCAATTCAAGTAAGTGGAAACTTAATAAGCAGTTGAAAGAGAGCAACCCATACACAAATCTATTAACGTTTGTTGTAAGCTCACTGTGTGCCCAGAGTTAAGAGCTTTCCATGATCTCTTTTGAGCCTCAACACAATGTGAAGAAATTTAACTGAGGTCACTTCGCTTTTTGGTGGCTGAACCATGACTTGAGACCTAGCCTGCTGATCCCAAGCTAATGCTTATTCCATTTTACAGTTCTCTCTTGTCACTATGATATACACCACATTTTCTGGATTTATTTATTCTGGCACTGATTGTAAAATGTGCCATTAGGTTCAATAGCATTTCAGAAAAAAAGTATACTTCAAAAATTTCTAAATTTAATTCTATTTTTAATTGACAAATAATAATTGTATAATTTATGGGCTGCAATGTAATGCTTTGATATATGCTTACATTGTGAATGATTAAGTCGAGCTGCTTACCATATCCATCACTTAACAGACTTATCAATTTTTTGCAGTGAGAACATTTAAAATCTATTTTTTTTAACCAACTGCAAATAGCATATATTCACCTCCTCAATTGCATTTATTTACAGTCAGAATTTGAGTCTAAGCCTTCTTCCCATTTAGAGTCTTCTAAATAATTCTTGACCAGTGAGTCAGAAACTTCTGAAAGAAGGAAGAGGTCAAGAGAAAGAGAGCGGAAGGAGAGACCTTCTCATGCTTTAGTATTCAATGGGAGCATTAAAACCTCTCTTCCTTCTTAGCACAGTCCCAGATACGCAATCAACATAGATTAGAGAGTGAGAAGCAGAGAGGCAGAAAATGCATTTTTCAGCATCTTTTTTTCCTCCAGGGAAATATGCAGCCCACAACTCCTGGAGTTGAGCAGACTTGCCCAGACAGAAGTTCCCTGGTCAAAGGTTTTCTTATCGTGGAGCAGGCAAAAGCCCTGCACTTGAATGCCAGAATGCTGGAGTGCCAGACAAAGGCAGGCTCCTGACATCCTGCCTGGAGGCCAGTGGGTCCCCTGGGGTCCACAGACAACTGGTTTCCCTCCACTAAGACCTGAAGGGGTGTCCATGACAGATGCAATCTTGACAAACCTCCACCGGGCTCTCATCCAGGGGACTCTCCAGACACAGGGAACTGAAGTAGTCACCTTTGGAGTCCCGTGTCTGCAGGAGGTCCTTGGCCATGGCTTCCTCTGGTCTTGGGATCAGCAGCTTTTAGCAATGCTTTCTGCTCAGAGTCTCAGCCTTCCAGGATTTTTCTTAAGTCAGGATTTGATCCTTGGAGCCCTGGTCAGGTGTGGTCAGATCTCCTGTGGACAGGAATGATACTTGTCTTCCACCAGTTTCTGTATCCTGAAGCATTTTGTGTCCTAAAAAGGAGAGGGGGAATGTCCTAGAACAGCCCAGTAAGCTTAAAGACGTGAAGAACTCAAGTATTCTAGGAACAATCCCAGCTCAACTACCCTAAACCAGCAGGGTTCTTTGGTGGCAAGCAACAGAAACTGACCCTAGCTAACATAAAACTTTATTGGAATAAAAGGGGACTGGCTAGAATGATATATGGGAGCTCAGAGAATGGAAGGGGTCTGAAGAAACATGAGAAAGGACAGGTCTGACTCCTGGTATAAGGGCTGATTCCTGCTGCTTTGTAGCTGATGGTCTGTGTAACCAGAGTAACAATGAGAAGAAAGCCAGTTCCTCCATAATAACTACCTTCTTCGTCAAATGCTTGTCTTAGAATTAGAATATGGATAATAAGCTGTTGTGTCTATGTTAAATTTCTTGATTTTTGTAACTGCATTCTGGTTATGATAGAGAATATCTTTGTTCTTAGGAAATGCTGAAGTATTAAGGGGTAAGGAGGCATTGTGTTTGTAACCTTCCTTAAAACGGTTCAGAAGACAAACTATAATATTATATTATTAGAGACAAAGAGAATAAGTCAAATGTGGCAAAATTTAAAAATTAATGTGTCTTGAAATTTTTCTATAAGTTTGGAATTTTTTTTAAAGTAAGTAGTTTTAAAAGAAATAATTTTTTAAAGTCATTTTCTCCAGATTATCTCATCCAAGATCAGTACAATTTGCATCTCTGGGGGTAGGATTCCAACATTGGTAGATTTTAAAGCTATCCAGGGACTGCACTGGGCAGCCACAGCTGGGAACCAGGCTCCCAGGGTCTGAGCCCTGATCTGGGCTAAAAGCAACACTTCTGAGGAACCCCTAAAGTAATAACAACCACAAACTTAACATATATAGTCTTAACCATTTATTATATTTATGTTTTTCATTATAAAAGTAATATAACCACATTGCATAAAATTGGAAAATTTTTTTAAAAGAAAAAAGTTATTACCATAACATAAACAATGAGAGAATTTTGGCTTATTTTCTCCAAGCATTTTTTAATGTACATATTTGCTTCCTACATAGTATGACACATTGAACATATGGCTTTAGCACTATTCTCATTTGACTTGAAAATGTCTTTAGAGCAATCATTTTTGTTGATAGTATATCAAGTGGATGTGCTGTTACTGACTTAACTATTCCCTTACTTTCATGTATTTACATTGTCACGATTTGTTTTTTGTTTTGTTTTGTTTTGTTTTTGTAATTACAAATAATGCTTCAAGGAACAAATTTGTTCATAACAGTGTTTCTAATATTTCAGGCCACTTTACAGAAGTAGGATTATGGGGTCAGAATATGTCCATTCTCATAGCACTCAACACATACTGCCAAATTGCTTTGTGAAAGAGCTTTAACAATTTATGTTGCAACCAGCAAGAGATGCTAGTTTTACGGCTTTGACATTATACATTTTTTAGTGCAAGATTAAATATATGAAGATGTGTCAGAAGTAGGCCAGGACTAGCAGAAGCACAACCTCAATTTTAACTCTTGTTGTGTCACTTACTAGCTGTGATGCCTTGAGATTGCCCCTTACTCTTTCTTCCTCATTTTATGGGTCTACTCCACACATTTACCAAACACCTATTATGTTCCAGGCACTATTCTCCATGCTGGGAATATGTATTGCTATAGGTCAGGACTCTTGAGAAGGAGGCTCTGAGATGGAGATTAGTGTGCAAGAGACTGATTAGGGACTGTTCTTGGCATCGACACTTGTGGAAGGGAGGTGACAGATGCAGGCTTGAACAGAGAGGGGAGCTGGGCTGCAATGAAGTTTCAGTGAAGCCACAGCCAACCCCACGTGAGCTCTGAAGATGGGATATGCCTTCAAAGGTGTCTGAGGTAGGTGATGGGGGCTGGGCCTTTATATTCTTACTTTGCTCCATGACTGCATGTAGGGGCTGCCTAGGGAAGGGGGCATGGCCTTGGGTGAGGCAACTCTCTTCAGCCCCATCACTTCACGAGGAGGACTACTATCAGAGGGCTGCTGGGGCAACGCTCCCCCAACAACGAGGAAACAATCATTCCTGAAGGGAAATCTGGGTGGTGCACGGCAATAACACTGCAAGTGATGAGCAAAGCAGACAATGGTCCTGGCCCCATGGAACTTAGAGCTAGAAGGAGAGCCAGGCACTGATATTACAGACACAAACACCCCCCCACACACAGGAAGACAAACTGAAAAGCACTGTGAAAGGAAGTTCAGGGTCCCATGAGAGTGGGCAACAAGGGGACTTGATCTAATTTGGGGGTGTCAGGGAAGATGTTCTTGAGGAAGTGATAATGAGCTGAGATATGGAGGGTATAAAGGGGGTTACCAGGTCAATGGAGAGAGGGTGAAGAGTACACCTGGCAGAGGAAAGAACACTGTGCAAAGAGCTGAGGCTGGAGGGAGCACAGTGTTCAAAGAAAAGAAAAGCAGAGGCCAGGCGTGGTGGCTCATGCCTGTAATCACAGCACTTTGGGAGGCTGAGGCAGGCTGATCACCTGAGGTCAGGAGTTTGAGACCAGCCTGACTAACATGGTGAAACCCTGTCTCTACTAAAAAGACAAAAGTTAGCCAGATGTGGTGGTGCATGCCTGTAATCCCAGCTACTTGGGAGGTTGAAGCAGAAGAATCGCTTGAACCTGGGAGGCGGAGGTTGACGTGAGCCATTGCACTCCAGCCTGGGTGACAAGAGCGAAACTCCATCTCAAAACAAAAAAAAAAAAAGAGAGAGAAAAAAGGAAAGCAGAGTGGCAGGTACCTTTCAAGTCAAAGGGCATGTAACAGGTGTGAGGCCATGGAGGAAGGCTATGTGGCCAGTGCAGGGGGACTTGCTGGCCCATAGAGAGGGCATTGTTTTCCACCCCATGAACAATGTGAAATTCTTGAATGGTATTAAGCAGATGGGTGACTTAATCAGGTTTGCATTTCAAAGTCTACTTCTAGCTATGAAAAATGGATTGAAATAGGGCAAGAAGGGATGGGTGAGATCAATAAGGATGCTGGGAAAGATGTGATCATAGCTGGGACCAGAGGGGTGGAATTGGACATGGAAAGGAGTGGATAGACTTGAAAGAGAAAAAATTGACAGGATTTGACGGTAGATTAGACCTGGGAGGTGAAGTAGAGGGAAGTGTGAAGGAGAAACCCAGGTTTCTGGTCCACACAACCAGATGATGTCAATGCTGTTCACTGAGATGGGGACACTAGACGAGGTGAGCCTGGGAGTGGATGATACATTTGGTTTTGGTCACTCTTACAACGGAGGTGCTTGAGTTTGAGAAGTCCTACAAATGAAATGTTGAGTAGATAATTTGGGGAGAGCATTCTAGAATTCATAGAAGGAGTCTGAGGGGGAGAGATTATTTGTCAGCCACTGACAAATGGCTGGAAACTTAAATAACAGGCATGGAAGAATCACCTAGGAAAGATTATAGAATGGGGAGGAACTTTAGCACCAAATTTCGAGGAACTCTGACATTTAAATTTGTATAGAAGGCAGGTTTTCTAAGTAGGAAAGCTTCTGGGGTGGGTGGTTCATGGAAGCCAATGGAAGTATTTCAAGTAGGAGGGACTAGACGAAGTGTTGAACGAAGCTGAGAAGTTAGGTGAGGAGAGGACTGAGAAGTGACTGTTGGGCTGAGCAGCTTGTCGTTCATTAGTGAATTCAGTGAATTCACTGTGAGGCCTGAGGACAGACTGGACTGGTATAAAGAGTGAGTGGATTGTGAGGAAATCGGGTCAGTGAGCACAAAAGTCTTTCAAGAGGTTTGGCTGTAGAGGGTACTAAAGAGAGGGGGTAGCTGGATGGAGAATTAGGGTTTAGGTCAATTTTCCTTTGTTTTGCTTTTATGATGTGTGAATGTGGGTGGGACAGATCCAGTTCTTTCAACTTTATCATTCCCTTCATGTAAGTACCAGGGGTGAAGTGCCCCAGGTAGCAGGTGGAAAAATAAAGTAAAAGTATCCAGAGTTGTGCTCAAAAGAGGCATTTCCTAGACTGAACCAAATGTTCATTTCCAGAGCCAAGTGCAGTGCCTCATTCCCATAATCCCAGCACATTGGGAGGCTGAGGCTGGCAGATCACTTGAGGCCAGGAGTTTTCGACCAGTCTGGGCAATATAGCAAGACCCCATCTCTACAAAAAAGTAAAAAGTTAGCCAGGTGTGGTGGCACACACCTGTAGTCCTAGCTACTTAGGAGGCTGAGGCAGGTGGATCATTTGAGCCCAGGAATCGGAGGCTGCAGTGAGCCATGACTGTGCCACTGTACTCTAACCTGGGCAACAGAGTGAGACCCTGTCTCTAAAAAAATAAAAAATAAAAAAAACCACACATGCGTGCGCGCACACACACACACACACACACACCTCTATATACCAAAGGGTGAATTCCCTGTCTTCTGAGAATTTGGGGCAGTATTTGTCTGCCCTATTTGTTTAGTTGACAGAACCACTGAACAGGGGCTCTGAGGACCCTAGTGAAAATCATATTCCTAGTAGGCTGCCTTGGTACTCCAGAATTCTTGAGATGAGTATGAAGAGAAGCCCTTGCTGTCCCACTGTCTTTAAAATTAAGGTGGTTATGAGCCCAGCTAATCAAGTTGGTCTGGAGTGCTCTAAAACATCAGGTAATTTTTGGAAGCTCCCCTACCCCAGGTGATTCTAACAGGCAGATACTAGCTAACAGACTGGAAGGGCTACAACCGTCAAAGATGAACAATAATAATCACAGAAGCAGCCTTAGTGAAGACCAATCTATAAAAATTAATCATGGACAGGTCTATTGGCAAGTTATATTTACCTACAGCTAATTACCAATTTCTCTCAAGACTGATCTCACAGCTTTCCTAAAAGTCCACATCCGTGACCTTTTGATGCCTATCTGAGCAGGGGACTCTTTTCACTAGCCTGACACCTTCTCATTTTCCAAGTATTGGATTAAATATTATTTTTCCTGGGGAGTCTTCTCTCACCTCTAATCAGAAGCCAGACTTATACTCTGGTTGTTTTCAAGATCCTCAGATATAACCTGGCTGAAACACACCACTATGCTTTTTTCCTAAATACTCCAAATAGGCCTTTCAGGGTTGTTGTTTCTTTTTTTTTTTTTTTTTTTTTTTTTTGAGACACAGTTTTGCTCTGTCACCCAGGCTGGAGTGCAGTGGCACAATCTCGGCTCACTGCAACCTCTGCCTCCCAGATTCAAGCGATTCTCCTGCCTCAGCCTCCCAAGTAGCTGGGATTACAGGTGTGTGCCACCACGTCTGGCTAATTTTTGTTTTTTTAGTAGAGACAGTGTTTCACCACGTTGGCCAGGCTGGTCTCGAACTCCTGACCTCAGGTGATCTGCCCTCCTTGGCCTCCCAAAGTGCTGGGATTGTAGGCGTGAGCCACCACGCCCGGCTGACCTTTCAGTTTTTTCAAGATGATCTGACTTTAAAGAAAGGGCATTCATGGGAGGTCTGATGGCACATCTCACGTGGTCTCAGGCTGTCTTGCATCAAGGAGAATGTGTCTCTACACAGCACACTTGGTATTTAGGGCAGTGGCAAAACATACACAAGGTTATTAAGTAATTAAACATATTAAAGTCAAGGATGGGCCCAACGCTTTGAATGTTTAAAGCCTTTAAAGGTAGGGATAAACCCAGTGCTGACATGTGCCAGGACTGAGCCAGGCTGAGTCATGAGTGAGTCCAGAAGTGTTCTCTCCCACCACTGACATCTACTCAGCCCCTTTCCACCCAACGCACCTCAGTGCCAAGCTTCTCAAGCATGATCCCTCTCCCCAAACAACTGGTCTTCACACGCCACTGTGTGATGTGGGTTGCTCGTTGTTCACAGACCTTCTTTATGGCTGGGAGAAGCTAGGGTCAGGGGAAAGCTTAGCCAGGAGGTAGCTGAGAAGTTGGACCAGTAGCCATCGCCAGGTGCACACCAGTGGGGAGGCGGATGGCATGTGCTCAGACTCCGGGTGCAAATTCCATAGGACCCAAACAGTCACGCTCCTCTGTAGATGGAAGAGGAGCAAGACACTAAGTCTATTCTGAATTCTTCTCAAAGATGAATGGATTTATTGAGAGCATGGCTTATTTTTAGCCCTTCTCTTTGCATCATGGCTACATCCTGGTGGCATTTTGTTCATTTTGCCTAAATCCAACAGAGTTGCTTTTCAGATACACTTTCCCCACTTAGACAACACAAGCCCTGTCACCTCCCCAGGAGGACATCAATGGAGGCCTGAACTCTGAGCATAGAGACAACACACGGTTTTGGGAGGCCAGTTTCTGACATGGGACATGCCATAAACCCCGAGAAAACTACTTCTGAATAACTGATAAGGTCTAATTTAGACACATCATTCTACCTTTTTAGGCCATGACTCTGAAAATGATTATTTTCCCAGAATATTTTTCTTCTCATATTAGAATGAAAAATCTGTTTCCATTAGGCTAGCTTGCTGTCCTGCAAAAGCTTGCCCTTTTATTCTCTACCCTTCACTACCATGATGGTCCTCGTAAGACTGCCAATCCCACAGTAAAGGGAGAGGAGGCCTCTAAATTGTTTTCTATCAGCCATGTCTTAATTACTCTGAGCACCAAAGAAGGGACATTTTGATGAGTTGTAACAAAAGCAATATGGCATGCTCAGAGACAAATGATCTGAGTTCTCCAGGGTTCTTTTCTCTCCTGTATAAATCTAAGCAGGTAGACTAGATGTTTTCTAAGGTTCTACTCACTCTAACTTTGTGACCTGAGAAATGGCTTTCTAGTAAAATGCCAGAGAAGGATGAGGCCATTATGCATGTCACCCTTGTGACATGTGTGTGGAACAAAGAATCCTGGATCAGGGATCAAAATCCTTGTAGTATAAACTACCAGTGGGGCCTCCCAAAACCACTCCAAAGCTTTATCTATGAAAGCTATAAATGGGGTCATGCTGATTAACCGAAGCAAGGTATATAAAACTGCTTTGCAAATAAAGTCATATAGAAAAATCATTCTACTGGGGTAATAGAAAAGAGGACCCCAGATAAATTTCTTAGGCTCTAGATTTTAGGTCTCTACCCAGTTTCAAATACAGCTATGTAGAGGTCCCCCAATCCAATTCCAGCAATTGCAATGGAGTTAAAATTTGTCAAAGATAATAAACAGCAAGACAATAGTAATTGCTAATGAGAAAGGCCATAATTTTTTACAAGAGCTAGACAGAGTAACTGCTGAAAGTGAAGGCTTCATTTGAAAGACACTTTGGAAATTTGCGTTGGTTTTGTAACACCAAATTATGTCAGAAATGTTTATATTTTTTTAAAAAAATCATAGGCCCATTTTCAGTAGACTCCAGTGAAGAGTGCCCCAAGGTGAAGTCATGATGCTTCATGTCCATGCCTTAGTCCTGCCCCAAGTTCCTGTGCAATCTTAGAAAAATATCTGAATCTTTAAGTTCAAGTGCCCCCAGTTACAATGAGATTCATAACAGATTCTCAGTGTTTTCATGTACTTCACTCCTAGTAGGTAAGTTAAAGGAAAGTTATTAAAACATTTGTAAGTGCTCTAAGTATTTCAGATAAAAGATACTGTAACACCGCCAAGGCACCACTTCTAACTTTTATAGAGCTCGCATGCCCTAAATTTTGTTTGTAAATAAAATCTTAAAAATGTGTTAGGAAAGGGATATGAAATACATTTATAAAGTGAAGAATTTCTTTTAAAACCCCTTTGGGAGGCCAAAGCGGGTGGATCGTGAGGTCAGGAGATTGAGACCATCCTGGCCAACATGGTGAAACCCCGTCTCTACTAAAAACACAAAAATTAGCTGGGCGTGGTGGCAGACACCTGTAATCCCAGCTACCTGGGAGGCTGAGGCAGGAGAATTGCTTGCATCCAGGAGGCAGAAGTTGCAGTAAGTGTGAGATCATGCCATTGTACTGCAGCCTGGCGACAAGAGTGAGACTCTGTCTCAAACAAACAAACAAACAAAAAACCCACATTAAGTAAACATGTAAGTCTGTATCTTCAAAATCAAATTTTCTAAAAGCACAGTCCACCTGCAATACCACTTACATTAAAGACAGAACTATCCACGGAGATCAGCAATAAGAGCTATCTTCATGTAAGTACCACACTTTAAGGAGCATCAGTGACCAACTGTGTCACTGATTCAGACCAAGAGAAAACATATAAGTTTGTGGAAAAGATTTCCCTGGAAATTTCAAAACATAGGTAATTAAATAACCAGAGATTGGGTGCAGTGGCTCACACCTATAATCCCAGAACTTTGGGAGGCTGAGGTAGGAGGATTGCTTGAGCCTCAGAGTTTGAGGCTAGGCTGGGCAACATAGTTGGATCCTGTCTCTGCAAGACATTTCATTAAAACCTAGCCAGGTGTGGTGGCACATGCCTATACTGTAGTCCCAGCTACTCGGGAGGCTGAGGCAGGAGGATATCACTTGAGCCCAGGAGTTTGAGGCTCCAGTGAGCCATGATGGTGACACTGCATTCCAGCCTGGGCAACAGAGCAAGACCCTGCTGTCTCAAAAAAACGAAACAAAAAAAAAGAGGAGGAGAAGAATAATCAGGAATCACAAACAAACTGACATTTTTCAAGCTTGCTTTCAATGTCTATCACTTTACTAAGAAAAATATAATAAATTCATTGTATAGATAAAAATGACATGTACACTATTCCAATATCTGTTTCCTGTTGAAGAAACCATCAAGAGAAAATCTTTTCTGGTTCATCATCATTAACACAACCCCCAAAATAGAATACGATTTTAAAATAGTTAATAGGGTGGTATATATATATACATACACATACACACATAATTTTTATATTTCCTGATTTAACAAAGACATGCTCTTGGGAAGCTGTAGACCTTATTGAAAAGTCTGGTAGCCTTTCCTTCTTTTATTTTCTGCAGTACTTAAACAGCCTGTATGAATCATTTGGCATGGGTGAATTGTCTTGTATCTTCTCATGCATGTATTCTTGTCTACACAACTAGAAAGCAAGCCTCTGGAAGGAAGTTCCCTGTGGTGCTAAGCCCAGTGCCTTGTACATAACCTGGGTGCATTAATCATTGATTGACATGTGCATTTGCAGGGAGGAGCCTGGTAAGATACACTCAAAACCTTTATTCATTGATTTACAAACTGTACAATATTTACAAAGTTTAGGCATTAATCCCATATTGACATGAATGCTGTGGAGAGTCTAAAAATAAATATGTGGCACATAGCTTAATATACACATCATGGCTCTTTACACTTAAGCCATTACCAATATTGAGATGTAATGGAGAATTTAATGTGGTAGAAAAGTCAGAGTGGCTGACCAGTCCCGGACCTTCCATGTGAATGACTCTTCCTTGGCTCCTTGAGGCTGGGGATAGTGAGCAAATAACTTTCTTTCAAGAGAATTAAACACTGCCATTCTGACAGGCACATGGGACACATGCAGCAACATCTATGCAGAGTCTGCAAGCACTCCCTGGGTGGTGGTTGAATCTGCACCACTGTGGACCTGATCCCTCTACACCAGCCAGGGAGGCTTTGGTGTGGTCACTTTCTTGTTTCTTATTCAATCACATGCAGTACTTGGAAGATGTCAGTGGAGTGTAATCATGCACAAAAATGGTACTTGTAGGTATGTACAACATCAAACTTTCATTGTCTTATAGCATCTTTAGATGCAACATCAACTATCTCCTCTTTTAGCAAGAGGGATGAATGAGGAAGCCAAACCCCTACTCCCCAAAGAAAAAACATCACCTGGGGACACATGCAAATAGCATCCTGCAACAGCAGGGTGAGATAAACTCCACATGATAAGATGGATGAATTCCTATGAAGTCAGGCCTGAAAGTCTTCCTAGGGGGATAATCCCACCTTTCTTTCCTCTTCAATCCCACATCATCCCACATAACCTAAATCTGAAGGAAACAGCTTCACAACATTGCGTTTGAGCTTTGGTACCTTCATTTGGGAAGTGTAAATGCTAGTAACATTCTTTATAGGATTCTTGCAGGGATTAATCCTAACTTATGTAAAGTGCTTAGCATAGTGCCTGGCACATACGAGGTGCTTAATAAATGTCTTGCTTTCTCTCCCTCTACTTTCCCACCCCAATTAAAAGCAACATACTGATAAGCCTAACAAACTCTGAATTAAGGCCATTTGATGCAATTTAGATTATTCTGTATCAGAGTTACTGCTGTCAGTTCATATTTAGTCCCTGAGGGAGTCTCATTTTATGAGCCAGAGACATTTTTCTATGGAGGGCAGATGGACCCTGACAACACTGTCCTCTTTATTAGCCATGGTTCTACCAAGTTTCACAAAAACACATCTGAAAACCCTGCACACAAACTTAGACCAGTGATGGTCACCACCTGAATAATTCCAGGACACCATCACTGAGGAAACCATGGAAAAATCCTTGAGACAAACATATTGCTCTTGCCTACATGTTAACTTTTTTCAACACTGGTGCAAGTATTATAGATAACTTTCAATAAACATATATTAAAAGCTCTACCACTGTTGAAAAATATGTATTCTAATTTGATCACTTTGTTCAGAATAATGAATTTTTTAGAATATATTTTAGTTTCTAGTTATGCCTTACAAAAATAAATACTGTTTAAATTATTTACAAGGAAGAAGAAAAATTGTAACTTGGGGTACAAAAAATACAAGAAGGATGACAAAAATTTTACCATCTACTTCAAAAGCAATATCTAAAAGAAAGAAAAACTTCCCATTGAGTCTCCTTGTTAGTCTTGCAATCACCTCACTGGTCTACTTTCTCCTCATCATCGCATATTATGCCTTGCTTCCCCATCATTCGAAAGACAATTTAATGCAGAATCTTCTCCATAAAGTCACTGGGGATTTGGAAGTGGGAGCTCTTTGGCAGTATGAACTGCAGATGGAGTAAGAAGCTGGCTGAGCCACTTAGTCGGCCCTCAGAATGAACTAGGACTAATCTCCACACATTTTTCCTTTCATTCTGAAATCCTCTGTCTAGATTATCTATGGCTGAATAGAACCCCATATCTGGGGAAAACAACTCCATCCTGGTTTGGGGCTCTGGACACAATTGACTCAGGTGGAATCTAGGATCTCATGAAGCATAATTAGGTGCCAAGTCAAGGAGAAGGCTGATCTCACCAATTATATGAAGGGATAACAGCCACTTTATGGACAGTGGCTCCATTAAGTTGAGGAAAATCCTCCTCCAGGCACCCCCACAAATATAACAAACTTTTATGATTGCCTTTTTGTCTTCTGCACAGAACAGAGGAAATGTGATTCCCAGCACTGGGAGAAGAATGTTGGGAAAATTAATTGAACAAATGGCTGGAATTGTTGGAATTACTACTCTTCCAGGGACTCAGTCAGAATTTCCAAGGAAATAGTCCATTCAGTTTGGAGTCAATGTTTTAAAATTCTAAAGCTACAAATGAACTCATGATTATATTTAAACCAATGGTTACTTTTCTCCTGAAAAGCCCACATCTATACATGCCCCTATAACATACTCCTAATATCTTACAGTCTCAGGACCTACTGCATCTCATGCATGTATTCTTCCAAATTAAGAACCCCAGATCTCGATAAATGCAGAACTACTTCTTGGAATGAAAACAAACGTTTATGGTATGGAACTTGGGCTGTACTGACAGAAGGCTTTGATGAGTCTCGGTTAGACTCAAAATGGCTACAATGAAGCAACATTTATTCCTCATGGTAAGTGGCAATGCTTGGCTGTGATGACCTCCAAGAGTGTTGTGTCTCACATGTGTAATTACTGTCAGGCCAATGACTCATGCAGGTCTGTGGACCATCGAGATCCCCATGGATCGCTATTAACACATGGAGCCACTGAGCCACTATAACATGAGCCCTAACCACAACCACAAGCAGGACACTATCACTGACATACAGCGTGGGTGCCCATTTGTCTGATTTATAGGTGACGTCGTGGCAAATGTGGCATCAGTTTCATTTCGGGGCAGTGGCAAGTTACAGATATTTCCTTCACAACAAGAAGTGCAGACCTGAAAGAAAGGAAGAAAAAAAGATAATGAGAAGCCAGCATGTCTTGGAAGGAGGCAGGGTTTTTGAAGGCACTGTCGCCCACATGGCAAGATGCAAGTAAAAATTACCTAATCTATAAAGGAGATGCCAACTCTACGTTCAGGAAGGCTGGGGATAATATTTCTTCTAGAAGCAATCTGGTCAACATGAAAACTCCCCAGGCCAAACTTCAAGAGAGCTAGGTTTTGTTTTTGACACCCTCCACCCATACGATTCTTACAAAGGTGTATAGCCTTCCTGGGCCTCAGTTCTTTCGCCCTTAAAATGGGAATAAAGAAACTCGTCCGTGTTTTTCCATGAGGCTCTTTCTGACTACTTGAGGAAGAGAGGGTAAGCCTTCGTTTGCCAAGTTTTCAAGTGAGAGTCAAGTGGCAACAACCCGGGTGGTTTAAACTTGAGTACTGACTTTCACAGAACTGTTTGCATAAGTGTCTCCATTCTCATTGGGTGAGTTAATGTTTGAAGGGTTTTCATTCATGCAGTTACTCCTGCTTTACACCACCTTACTCGTGGATCATTAGAAAGAAATAAACCCACAGAGTTAGTGACAAAAACTTTCTTGGGGCATGGCTACACAAAGTACAGACCAGCAGCTCCAACATCAGCTGGGAGTTTGTTACAAGTGCAGAATCTCAAACCTTGCCCCAGACAAAGAATTAGGACTACATTTTAACAAGATTCCCAGGTGATTCCTAGTCATAGGATGGTTATTAATAACATTCTATACAGTCATTTTCCTGCAGGGATTTGAGTCTTTAGTCACAGTGACACGTGCCAGGAAGTCAGTATAATGTTGCGGAGGTAGACTCCAAACCAGAGGTGAGTTGGAATTCTGTGCCTGTCACTTACCAGCTGTGTGACCGAGCATATGACCCAATTTCTCTAATCCTTAACTTTCTCCTTGGTAAAGAGGCCACAGTAACTCCTCAGAATCAAGTCCAATTTGCTGGAGAGGTCAGGGAAAGCCTTTGGTTTTACTCATTTTGAACCAGGAGCAGAATAGGCAGATTATATTTAAAATTTTAATTATTAGTGTATTCAAGAGGTTGCTTGAAAATTAGGTGTCTGCCTTCTTAAGAAACAGTGCTGTTCCCAGGTATTGAGAATGGACATTGCCCAAACCACCAGGAAGGCCACCTGCAGAAGTGTTCAGCTGCTAAATAAAGGCCAAAGTATGCTATGTTAAGGTCACACGTATAGACAGCATATAGACATGTATAGACACACGTATAGAGGGCAAGGCTGCCTTTCTGTGATTGTCCATATGCCCCTTCAAGGCTGCCTCCCAAGCTCATTTTACACTGAGTGCTTCTGTACATAGGCACCATGTGTTTCCGTATACAGGCTTCTACAGGTACCAGGTGAAGCTTAAGCGAACACACAAGATGGGTCTCCATCACCTATCAAATGACTCAAGAGCCAATGGAGACCCTCCCCAAACTAACATCCCAGTCACAACATGAGCCCTACTTTACAGAAAGTTATCAAAGCTGAATTGCGTCGGTCCTCCTGTGATGAATGAACTGGGTACATCTGCAAAGCTTCACTGTGATGGACATAACTGGTCTCTTGCTCCTCTTTTTTCTGGTAGCTTTATTACTTTCCTCTGAGTGAAGAAAGTTATTACAATAACACTGAACACCCTCTTCATGTGTGTTTACACAATTTATATCAGTTGTCCTATGCTCTGGTATAAATGTGTATTCTTTTAGAGTAAACAGGAAAGGAAGCGTCTTTTCATAGAGCATAAAGACAATCAAAAGACAGCCTTCACGGGGGAGTAAGAATCTGCTCATGAGTACTGGCAGATGTCTGAAGAGAAGGCAGCTGGCTATGTAGTACTGGTCACTTGCTCTGTTGCCCAGACCTTGTGGCCTTCATGCTCGGAGTCTCTGCAGCCAGTGGATAAGCACTCTTCCAGTGGGACACAGCGTTTGGTGACTGAGATACTGTTTCCTGTGACTTCCATTGTGTGCTGAGTGTAGCAGTATCTGGTCTCTGTCAACAGAGAAAATATATTTGAGATGGGAAATGTTGACCAAACCTGCCTAAAAGGAAAATAACAGGAGTGTCAGCATTATCATTCCAGAAAAGAGCTAATAGCACATAAGATGTGCACTGCTTTGAGTTTATGTCCAACCCCAAAGACCTCTTTGGAGAGCTCCACTTTGCCATGGTAGGAGGACAACCTTCAAAGAATATTGATTTCTCTGCCCAGCATTATTCCCATAAACCAAGACACAATGGTTTCTCCTTGCCTTTCAACAAATTTTGCCACTGGACTGATTTTTATTTTTAGGGGATGAGTGGTTTTGCGGGGATGATTTAAGAGGTATAAGTCATAGCAATTTTAAGGAAGATGAAAGGACAAAGAGGTTCAAAGAACTCAGGGTTAAAATGAGTTAGGCAGGTAACAGTAGTCCTCAAGGAGATAAAACACTACAGCAGTGGCTGGTGTGTGTGTGTGTGTGTGTGTGTGTGTGTGTGTGTGTGTGTGTGTGTGTGTGTGTTGGGGGGAAGCAGCTATTCACAAGAGCAGAACAATTTAAAACTTTGTGCCAATGAGCATAGCTGGGTCCAGGGTGCATTACAGACGAAGACTGAAACAATAATGAACATTTTTCCAAAATTGAGGAGCTTCGTTTCTCCCTAGCATGATTTCAGTGTCTTCCTAGGACAACAGATGAAGACCATGATGGGAGTTTCCAGAGGTCCCTCTATGTCTAATGAATCTGAAAGCTTGAGATCTCTTCCAAAATTCTTTGGGGGAACTTTTAATGTGTAATTTAAAAACTAAAGAAAAATGGCTTTGTCAATGTAATTCTTTATGGCCTCCAGGCAATGTTCAGCTCTCTAAGTCTGGGATTTAGGAGAATGTTCTTGCTCTACTTTCACATTAAAAAAGAAAATGAATAATTCTTAAGAAATGTCACCGAGCTGTTTTTCATCCACATCTTGGATCCAACTTTGCATGCTTTATACATTTCAGATATTTAGTGGCTAATATGGAATTATGACCTTCTATGAGATTATTTATTAGGCAATACAAATTCCTCCCCTCTCCCCCACCAGATTCTGTCATGATTTTGGCAGCTTTTAACTGAAGAACTAATGTCCAAAGAAGAAAGCGTAAGAAAATTTTAGGTCTTGAGAATGAGCTAATACAGACCCTTCAACACATCCTGGAAGTCATCAAAACTCAGGGGTTTTAACAGTCTTCCTAGAGACCCTCACCTGACAGGAATCCCAAATGGTCTCCAATTAAGTCGTACTAAGAGCTGCCACTTTCCCAGTGGTGATGCTATTGGCAGGTGTGCCTGGGCAGAGTCTGTGGCAACACCCTCCCCTAAATGCTGTCCCACACTGCATCCCGGCTGGAATTGTTAGTTGGATTGGGCTGAAGCTTGCTCCAAGGTTGCCCAGGGTCCTATGGAGCTCTTTGGGAGTAGGGTAAGGTCATCTGGGGAGCTCACAATAAGAATAGTTGAAAGTTTTCTACCTGGCAATAATTATCCCAAAGCCCTAAACTATCTTAACATTGGAGTGATTGCTTTTCTGTTGAAGAAGAGGCAGCAGCTCTCCTCTTTTTTAAGCCTTAACAGGTTTTGACAAATGGAGGCCAGTGGCCTGGGAGATTTACCACATCTTCTAAGAGGACTGGTTTACTTCTTTGGTATCAGACTCGATGGACGTTTATGGTCACAATAGGTTCATCTTTCCCACCCCCACCCCAACTTCAAATGTTCTAGAAAGCAATAAAATCAGGAATGTTCTTATCTCCTGTCTCCTCTTCATGCAGACAGCTAAGAGCAGCTGCCAGAGGTTTTACTGCTCCAAATGTAAATCCGAGCAGATAAGATCATAGGCTTATGGAATGAGTAAATCACTACATAGCTGCAGTTTTGGAAATCAGCCTTTTCCCCCAAGTAGTGAATTATCCTGTTTTAAGTAAGCCTTAAAATAACAATTGGTGAACTTGATATGACTACTTCTTTGTTCATACTTTTCTATCTTTAACAAAATATCTTATACATAATGGAGAGCGTATTCCATTGAATGACAGTAGACGCAACAACTGATAAAAATAATTTTTCAGGAACACATGCAAAACCTTAGTACCTAATAAGCTGATTTTTTGCCATTCTGGGGGTAGAAGGGAGATCAGTGCAGTAAGAATTTTTTCTTGTACTTCACCCAGTCCAATCCATGAAACAAAAATATATGGAGAACACTGCCATCACTTCCAGCAGTACAGACCTCAGTGCTGAAGCATCAATCCTTCAAAAGCATTTATTCCACTTCTTATCTTACAAAAACCCTAGGTGAGTTATGAAATGTTAATGTGGAAAAAGGTTCTGTGGTTTAAGAAGTTTTGAAAATGCTCAAATAAACTCGAACAGGTTTCTTCAGTGCACAACTTATGAGAACCTTCTATATGTGTTGTGATCTCATGATCTCCAAAGGTTTATCGGGGTGAGCAGGCAGAATTTCCCAAGTAGAACTAGGTGGGCCACATTTGGCTTATCACTGGACTGGAGTAGTGATAAAAACCTAGTTTCAGCCACAGAGCATTGTTCTCTATGCATTTTGAAAACTCCTTGGGTTAGTAATGAGGTAATATGAGAATCAAGCCTGCTGATAACTTCACACTAAAAGGATTTCAAAGGCTTTTATCTAAAAGATAAAAGATGAATTTGAATTTCCACCAGGTTAGTTTCTGTCTCTAAAATCTCATATTCTGCAACTACATGGTATTCCCAGAGGTTGTGAAACAAAAGTCTTTTACTATTAGATTAACAGGCATTCAACTAAAATCAGAAATGGGAAAGAGAACTTCATCAACAATTGGAAAATATAATTTTTATGAAATTCACACCCATGTGCACGCATGCACACAGAGTTCATAATCTCGTTCTGAAAGTTAAAAGTAACCCAAAGCTAAATTGCAAACTTTCATTTACCCACCAATATTGTTTTTAATAACAGAAACTATATTTAAACAAAACATACATAAGATGATTTGAATTGAGACATTACAAATGTCCAACTTTCTTATAAAAGGCTTTCTTGCCACTCAATTATTCTTCATGGTTCTGCTTGTTTTAGTTTCTTCACAAACATACAGGTTGATAAAAATGATGCTAGAGAATAATTTTCCAGGTGCAAGAAAATTAATGGGAGGAAAATACTTTAATAGTAATATTACGAATTATACTGAAAAATGAAAGGCCAGTCGCAGCTGCCTGCTCTCTCCCTGCCCCCATTCCTTACTGTTCACATAGCTCTTCACTTCTGCCACACTACTCCCCTGCAACAACTGTGCCCTACGCATCAAATTCCATGCCCTTTTCCCATGTCTGACCCTGTAGGATCTCTTTGTGACTCTGGGACTCTACTATGGATAATCTCATCTGTGGGACTCTCCATCCTAGACTTCAGAGTTCTGTCTTCCAGATGTTCTCCTAATCTCTGTTCTCTCCACTTTCAACACTTTCCCTAATATGAAAGTCGATATTCTCCCATGTTCTGTCCTTGAACCTCTTCTCACTCAAGTGGCCTCATCAAACTTCTCATGCCATGTGTTCAGTCTGAGTCTTTTTCCTGAACTGTAGAACCAAATTACCAACTATTTTCTGGACACTTCCAGCATTACCTCACACCTAATGTGTCTCAACCCAACGCATTATCTCCCTCCCCCTTGCATCTTTTTATCTTCACATGTGTCTATCTCAGGAAGGGACCTCCTGGGATATTGTACCTCCAGCTTCTCCAGTAACTTGAACTAGAAATCTGGAATCAGCTCAGACTTTTCTCCCTAATCTGGGAGTCTCCAAGTCTTCTGAAATGTCTCCATTATCCATCTGGTCTTTTCTATTCCATTTTCCATTTCCTCAATTCCGGACCTCATTGTTTCTTGTTTTGTCTCTGACATGCAACCCGCCACGCACAAAAGCATGAATGCCACCTAATTGTCAAGGAATCCTGACTGCTGAATTACTAGGCTTATTTGGCCTGCCTGAGTGGCTTGGGAATAGGCCATTGCTCTCTCTGCTCCCGAAGCTGTGTGTCAAGTGCATTGGAGTAACTGCGCTTCCCTGATAGAATCATCAGTTAATTTAATTTCTAACTCAGAGCTTGGCATCTGAAACTCAGCCCTCATTACTCACGGTTCTCCTTGATGGAGGCTCCAAACTGTCTCCTCATTGCCTCGTATATACCTTGAGACATAGTACCACAACTTTTGACCATGCACGATGAAAAATGTGCATCCTTAGCATGGTCTGCATATTTTTTCCTATCTTCTACTCCTGGACACCTGATATTCTTCAAGGCTCAATCCAAATGTGATAAATTCTGTGAAATCTTCCTGATCTTCCTCCCAACCAGGTCAATGCTAATCTTCTCTCTTCTCCATGTTGTCTTAGTCCTTCTTAACTTTCTCATTTGGGATATCTGGCTTTTCTTCTAGATCATGGTTCCTGATCAAAACAATTGATTTTTTTGTGTTTAAACTGTTTTTTTTTTTTTTAATTTAACCTATTATTTTGAGATAACTGTAGATTCCCATGCATTTGTAAGGAATATTAATAATAGGAGATCCTCTACACCTTTTACCTAGTTTCCCCAAATGGTAACAACTGCAAAACTATGGTATAATATCACAACTGTGATATTGACATTAACCCAATCAAGATACAGAACTTCTCCACAGCCATAAGGATCCCTCATGTTGACCTTTTATAGTCACATCCTCTTCCCTCCTGCCCCCACCCCTTCCCTAACCCTTGGCAACCACTAAATGGTACTGCATTTCTATAATTTTGTCATTTTGAGAATGTTATATAAATGAGTCACACAACATGTAGTATTTTGGAACTGGGCATTTTCACTCAGTCTCATTCACTGGGTTTGTTAATTTTTAAGAGTTTGTTAACTTTTATTGCTGAGTAGTATTCCACGGCATAGATGTACTAAAGTTGGTTTAACCATTCAGCCATTGAAAGGACATCCAGGTTTGTTTCCAGTTTAGAGATATTATTAATAAAGCTACCATGAACATTTGTGTAGAGGTTGCTGTGTGAATATAACTTTTTACTTCTCTGTATGAGTGACCAGAAGTGAAACTGCTGGGTTATGTGGTAGTTGCATGTTTAGTTGTTTAAGAAACTGTCAAGCTGCTTTCCAGAGTGGCTGTAACATTTTATATTCCTACCAACAACGTATTGAGTGATCTAGTTTCTCCTCCTTTTTACTAGCATGTGGCATTTTTCTTATTCTTTATTTTAGGTATTCTGATAGAAGTATCATAATATCTCATGTTTGAAATTTGCATTTCCCTTATGGCTAATGATGTTAAATGTTTTCATGTGTTTATTTGCCATCTGGTTATCTTCTTTGGTGAAATGTCTATTCATATTTTTCCTATTTTCTAATGATGTATTTTGTTTACTGGTGTGTTCTGAAAATTATTTATATATTCTAGATAGCAGTTCTTTGTCAGATATGTGATTTGCAAATATTTTTCCCATTTCATAGCTTGCATTTGCATTCTCTTAACAGGGTCTTGTGCCGGGTAAAAAAGTTTTAAATTTTGATGAAGTCTAATTTATTATTTTTTCTTTTATGAGTCATGCTTTTGGTATTAAGTCTAAGAACCTCACCTAGCCCTAGATTTATGAAGATTTTCTTCTATTTTTTCCTAAATGCTGTATGTTTTTACATTTCACATTTAAGTCTGTGATTCACTTTAACTTTTGTAAAAAGTGTGAGACTTAGGCTGAGATTCATTTTTTGCCTGTGAATGTCCAGTTCCTCCAGTACCATTTGTTAAAAAGGCTGTCTTTCCTCCACTGAATTGCTTTTACACCTTTGTTAAAAATTAGATGGGCATATTTTTAAGGTCTATTTATTCTGTTTAATTGATCTATGTCTATTTCTCTGTCAGTACCGCAGTCTTGATTACTACAGCTGTATATTAAATCCTGAAATAGGGTAGTTTGATTCCTTCTACTTTAGTCTTCTTTTTCAAAATCGTTTTAGCTATACCAGTTTCTTATCTTTCCATATAAACTGTAGAACACTTTTGTCTATATCTAAAAAAAAAAAAATCTTCCTGGGATTTTGACAGGAATTGTGTTAAACCTATATAACAATCTGTAGAGAACTGACATTTTACTATGTTGTCTTTCAATCTATGAACACGGTCTTTCCATTTATTTAAATTTTATTTTTTTCATTGACGTTTCATAATTTTCAGCTTACAAGTCCTATACATGTTTTGCTTAGATTTACCTGGAAGTATTTAATTCTTCTGAGCAATATAATGCTATATTTTAAATGGTATATTTTTAAATGGTATATATAAATGGGATATTTTAAATTTCAGTGTCCACATGTTAATTGATAGCATAAACACAATTGAGTTCTCAATTTATCGTATATCCTATGACCTTGCTGAACTCATTTATTAGTTCCAGGAATTCTCTTTAGATTTGTTGGAATTTTCTACATAGAAATCATGTTGTCTGTGAAAAAGGACAGTCATATTTTCCTTTCCAATCTGTATGTCTTTTATTTACTTTTCTTGTCTTATTGCACATGCTAGAATCTACAGGGTTGCACTAAATAAAAGTAGTGAAAGCAGACATAATTGCCTAGTTCTCTGTCTTAGCAGGAATGCATGCAGTCTTTTACCATTAAGCATAATGTTAGTGGTAGGTTTTTAATCGATGTTATCAAGTTGAAGAAGTTTCTCGCTATTCCTATTTTTCTGAGAGGTTTTAATCATAAATGGTGTTTAATTTTGACAATTGTTTTACATTGGTTGATATGAACATGTGATTTTTCATCTTTAGCCTATTAACACTGTGGATTATATTGGTTGATTTTCAGAGATTAAACCAGCCTTGTATCCATGGACTAAGCCCCACTTTGTCATGGTGCATAATTCTTTTCATATATTGCTACATTCTATTTGCCAATATTTTGTTAAGAACTTTAGTGTCTATATTCATAAAAAAATAATAGATTGGAATTTTGTATTTGTTTGTTTGTTTGTTTGGTGCTGTGTTGGTCTGGTTTTGGTATCAGGGTAACTCCAGCTTGATAAAATGAATTGAGTATTCCCCCTTCTCTTCCATTTTCTGGAAGATTTTATCTAGAATTGGTGTTAATTCCTCTATTAAAACTTGGTAAAATTCTCCAGTGAAATTATTTGGGCCTGAAGAGTTCTTTTATGAGTGTTTTTAAGTTATAAAAAAAATTCTTAGGAGTTATAGGACTATTTATCTCATTTTTAGTGAATTGTGGTACTTTGTTTTTTGAGTTATGGTCCATTTCATCTAACTTGTCAAACTTATGTTTTTGAGTTGTTCATACTATTCCCTTATTTTCCTTTTCTTAGTACCTTAATGTTTTTCTCCATTGATTTTAATTGAAAAAAATTGTATATGTTTATGGTGTACAATGAAATGTTTTAGTATATGTATTCTCATTGAGTTTTATTCTTATCATTATTATTTCCTGATTTTTGCTTAGTCTTGCTTTGTTTGACTTTTGGTTTGTTTTTCTCTTCCTTTTTCATCTTCTTGATGTGTGAGCTTAGAGAATTGATTTTCCTGTTTTTAAATATGTGCATATAGTGCTATAAATTTCGGCCTCAGCATTGTTTTTGCTGTGTCCTACAAATTTTCATATGTTTTAATTTCATTCAGTTCATTGTCTTTTAAATTTCCCTTAAGACTTTATCTTTGATCTGTGGATTATTTAGATGTGCACTGTTTAGTTTCCAAGTGTTTGGTGACCTTCCTTTTATCTTTCTGTCATTGATCTCTAGTTTAATTCTATTGTGTCAGAAAACACTCTGTATGATTTCAATTTTTAAAAGTTTGTTGAGGTTTGCTTTATGGCTCAGGATATAGTTTATTTTGGTATGTGTTCCATGGTCACTTGAAAACCATGTATATTCTGGTGTTGCTGGATGGAGTGTTCTGTAAATGTCAATTAGATTCTGTTGGTTAATGGTGCTGTTGAATTCTTCTATATCTTTGCTGATTTTCTTTCTGTAGTTCTATCAGTTTTTGAAAGAGTGGTGTTGAAGTCTCCAACTATAATTGTAGATTTATCTATTCCTCCTTTCCTTTATATTATTCTGTTGCACATATTTTTCAGCTCTGTTATGTGATGCTTATATACTTAAGATTGCTATATCTTCTTAGTGGATGGGCTTCTTTTTAATCATGCTATAATGTTCCTCTCTGCCTCTGGTAATTTTATCTGCACTGAAGTCTTTTGATTAATGTTTCCCTACTATCTTTTTCCATTCTTTTAATTTGCTTATATAATTATTTTGAAGTAAATTTATTACAGATGACATATATTTGGGTCATGGTTTAACATATTCTGTCAATACATTTCATTTATTTTGTATATTTATGCCATTTACATTTAAGGTAGTTATTGATATGGTAAGACAAATTTTGTTATTTTCTGTCTTGTTTTTGTTTTTTCTTACATTCCTATGGGTTACATCAATGTTTTTTAGAATTCCATTGTGATTTATCTACAGTGCTTTTGAGTATATCTCTTTTTAAAATTGTTGCGCTAGGTATTAAATTATATGCAAAACTTATCACATCCTGCTGGCATCATAATTTTACCAATTAAAGTGAAGTGTACAAAACTTACCTCTTTTTATGCCCTAATACCTTCACTTGTTTGTAATAATTTTTTTTTTTTTTTTGAGACAAAGTCTTACTCTGTCACCCAGGCTAGAGTGCAGTGGTGTGATCTTGGCTCACTGTAACCTCCGCCTCCCAGATTCAAGCGATTCTCCTGCCTCAGCCTCCCGAGTAGCTGGGACTACAGGTGCCTGCCACCAAGCCTGGCTAATTTTTGTATTTTTAGTAGAGATGGGGTTTCATCAACCTGATCAGGCTGGTCTTGAACTCCTGACCTCAGGTGATCCACCTGCCTTGGTCTCCCAAAGTGCTGGGATTACTGGCATAAGCCACTGTGCCTGGCCGTAATATAATTGTATTAAATAATCCTCTACAATATATTTAGAACCACATCAGACAGCATTATAAGTTTTGCTTCAACTGTCAAACATAATTCAGAAAACTCAAGAGAAGAAGGACATTCTGTTGTACTGCATTGTAGTATCAAGTACGTTTACTAAGTTTTTTCTTCCTTTCTGATGTTTCAAGTTTCCTTCTTTTATCATTTCCTTTCTGCATATAGAGCTTCCTTCAGCCATTCTTTTAAGGTAGGTCTGCTAGTGACAAATTCTCTCAGTTTTCCTTCCCCTGAAAATGTCTTAATTTCTTCACATTCCTGAAGGATATTTTCTCTGAATATAAGATTCAGCATTGATAGCTTTTTTTAACAGTTGGAAAATATTGTACCATTGACTTCTGGCCTCCATAGTTTCTGATGAAAACGTTTCATTCAACTAATGTTTCTCATATCAGATGTTCTTTTTCTCTTGCTATTTCAAGACGTTTTGTTTTTAGAAGTTTTATTATTATGTGTTTTTGTGTGGATTGCTTTAGTTTTGTCCTCTTTGGGGTTTGCTCAGCTTCTTAGAAAAACTTTTAGCTGCTAATTCTTTGAGTACTTTTTTCAGCTTCACCCTCTTTCTCTTGTTCTCTTGAAACTCTGATGATGTAGTGTTAAAACATTTGTTACAGCTCCATAGATCTCTGAGGCTCTGTAGAGGTTTCTTTCCCCTCAGCCTATTTTCTACCTGTTGTTCAGATTGGATAATTTTTATTGCTCTGTTTTCCAAATTCATCACTAATTCTTCCCTTTGTTCCTTCCATTCTGCTGTTGAGCCCATCTATTGAGATTTTTATTTCAGGTACATTATGTTACAATTGTACAATTTCCATTTGGTTCTCCTTTATATTTTCTATATCTTTGATGAGATTTTAAAAATTTGTTTCAAGTGTGTTTGTTATTACTTACTGAAACATTTTTATTATGGCTGCTTTAAAATCCCTGCCAGATAATTCTAACATCTGTATTTATCTTGGTGTTGGTGTCTATTGATTGCTATTTTTCATTCAGTTTGAGATCTTCCTGGTATGACAAGTGGTTTTTTTTATTGAAGCCTGGACATATTGTTATTATGTTAGGACACTCTTGATCTTATACTCCCTGTTTGAGAGTGGTAAGAGTGCCTCATTAATGCTTCCCATGTAGCCTCTACTAATGCCATGGGATGGGAGATGTGTTGTAGCCTCAATACCAATGGGTGGCGGTGAAGGGTGAAGTCTTGACTCTCCATTAAGCCTCCTTTGACACAACCTTGGTCAGGGGAAAGTAGAGGCATCTCATTGTTGCTGGTGGAGGTGAAAGTCTAGGCTCCCTAACACGGTCTCCATTGACACTGTGGAAGAGACCTTGTTACTGCCTGGTGGGGAGGGACAAGTGTCACCTTTACTTGTCCTTCTCTGACACAATCCCAAGCAGAAAGGTTGGGACATCTCATTACAGCCTATTGAGGATGAAGTCAAGGCTTTCCATTCAGCCTCTGCTGGTATGGGATTGGGGCTACAATTTTTTCCATAGTGTTTTGCTGCAGTAGAGCAGCTATTGTCTAAAAGTTATCTTTCTAGGCTTCCCCCTTCCTGGTCCTTCTGCTAGAGAGCAAACTTCTGTTGGGGGGTTATTTTGCCAGTGCCTATGGCATTTGCAGGATGTTGACTTCTTTAGCTTCAAGTCTAGAATATATGAGACTGAAAGAAAACCTAGTGAACTCAGCACTGTGTTGTTCCTTGAGTCTTGAAGTCCCTAGTCTGTCATTTTCTTTACACCTTTCAGAGTCCCTTCATGTCTTTGGTTTGCTTTTTAATAAATAATGTTCAGAATTTTTTGTCATACTTAGCAGGAGGAATAGAAAAGTACATCCATTCCATCTTTCCAGAAATGGGAGTTTTCAGCTTCTGACATTTTGGGCTAGATAATTTTGTTTTGGGCAGACTGCTCTGTGAATTGTAGGACATTTAAAGCATCCAACAGCCTCTTCTCACTAGATGCCAATGTCACTGCCAATAGTAACAACTAAGAATGTCTCCAGTCATTGACAAATATACTTCGGGCAGGGAAGAGGGAATTGCTCCTGGTTGAGATCTACTGTTGTATTATACATTATAATCTTGAGAATCAGGCCCATTCTTGTTGGTGTCTGCATTCCCTCCAACATATAACACAGGGCATTGCACACAATAGCAGGCATTTAATCTCTAATAAACTCTTGTATTACCAGCAGAGATGGATGGGTAGGAAGAATATATCTAGCTAAGCTCTTCCATTCAAAGTTGAACCAAATTAAAACATTTTAATTTAGTTCTACGACGTCTATAACATATCTTCCATTGAATTTGAATAGTCTCATCAAATTTAAAAGAGAAATAATACTACACTTCTACCAGTAGTGCAATTTTCATATACTATCATGACTTCTCAAAATTATTTGCCAGGACTACTAAAAGTAAACCTATGCATATTCTATGAAGCTAAAATTCTATTCCTCAATATACATCCAACAAGAATGATAAGTCCTAGAACGTGCATAGAAGAACTATTTGTACAAACACGCTGTAAAAATGTCAATTAGCGACAGAATGAATAAATTATAGTATCTGTTCCCATAACAATGAGAATGAACGGATTACAACTAAATCTAACGAAATGGATGAATCTCACATAATATTGAGTGAAAGAAGTCAGATACAAAAGAGTTATACTGCATGATTCCACTTCTACAAAGAACCCAGTAAGACAAAATTAACCTACACTACTGGAAATTAGGAGGGTAACTATATTAGTTTCCAGGGTTGCCATAAAAAACCACCGAATGAATGCTTAAACAAAGGTTTTCTCACAGTCCTGGAGGCTAGAAATTGAAAATCAAGGTGTTGGCCAAGGCTGGTTTCTTCTGAGGCCTCTCTTTTTGGGCAGTCTTTTCCTTGTGTCTTCACAACAGCTTCCCTCAGTTCCTGTCTGTGTTCCAATCTCTTCTTATAAGGATGCTTGTCAGACTGGATCAGGGCCCACCTGAATGACCTCACTTAATTACCTCTCTAAAAACTATTTCCAAATATGGTCTCATTCTGAGGTACTAAAGGTTAAGACTTCAACATAAGAATTTGAGAGCAGGTAGGGGGAAAAATGGGGAGGACACAAGTCAGTCTATAACAGCGACCCTTGGTGGTAGGAAAAGTGACTGAAAACAGGCATGCGAGGAGCTTCTAAGATGCTGGTCATTTCTTAATCAGGGTGCTGCTTACATGGAGTATTCAATTTGTGAAAGTCCATCATGCTATTTACTATTTGGTATGTACATTATACTTCAAAGTTCAGTAAAATTGAAAGCGAAAGAAAAAAAGAGCCCAAGATGAAAGAAAATAGACTCAAGAAAAGGATGAACTACAAATTGAGTTGCAGATAAACTGAATTATTTTAAACTTACCCTAATTAGTAATTACTACAGTCTCCGCTTTCAGGCACCAGATTATTGTTTTGGCTTTTCTGCTCTTAACAATTATTCTCCATAGATCTTTTAAAAAGATGTGTTTTCTCCTCTTGTTCCAAGTAAAAAATTCCTCAAGGCAGAAATTAAAAACAAATAAATGCTCATCAAACTGACTGAATCACAACTGGTTAGTCTCCTCTACCCTGAAGTCAGCACCTTTTGAGGAAGCTGCCAAATGGAGACTTCCCTATTTTCTTCTAAAAAATATTCATCCACATTTCTTAATGAACCTCTCACTGGAGGAACTTCTTTTAAAACTAATCACTGAAATTCAGAAGGCAATGTACTTATTACCAAGGCCAATTCCAAAAAGGCAGCTGGGAAGGTATGCAAAGGTAGTGAGGATAGACAGGACTTTATGGTGAACAGTGGTCAGGATAAAAGTGATAAGGCAGACCATCAAATGGAAGCATCCCAGCTGAGGCAACTGGATTTGTAAAACATATTTGGACAAAATATTGTGAATTGGAGAAGGTTAGATGCTCTCAGTGTACGAAAAAAAGTCTTGTATGGGCTGATAGGACTTAAGGTTAAAAACTTGCTGGAGGCCAGGCGTGGTGGCTCACACCTATAATCCCAGCACTTTGGAAGGCCGAGGTGGGTGGATCACGAGGTCAGGAGATTGAGACCATCCTGGCTAACATGGTGAAATACTGTCTCTACTAAAAATACACAAAATTAGTTGGGTGTGGTGGTGGGCGCCTGTAGTCCCAGCTACTCGGGAGGCTGAGGCAGAAGAATGGCGTGAACCCAGGAGGCGGAGCTTGCAGTGAGCTGAGATCGTGCCACTGCACTCTAGCCTGGGCAATACAGCAAGACTCTGTCTCAAAAAAAAAAAAAAAAAAACTTGCTAGAAAAGTTCTAAGACTAATTCCGAGAATTATAATGCCAGCTGAAATGGGATGGCTTACCAAGAAACAGAATAAAATTAAAATAGCCAATTAAAATGTAAACAACAAAAATCTGTGTGAAAGCACAGGCCTGCCATTGTAGACTGGATTTAAAGAGCAAGGTACCAGAGAAAAGACAAGCCCCCTGAGTGGTGCCTGACATTCTATACCTGTTCTCCCCTCGAGGCATTTGCTGATTCAAAAATTGCACAGGTGGAGAGGCTGAGAAACCAAGCAGAAAGCTCTGCTAAGGGGCAGAGAAGTAGGGCAGCACCTTCATCGGTCTCAAGGGGACTGGGAGCACAAACAGGAGATCAGAGCTAGCAGGGCAGCCGCAGGAGAAATGAGGTTCAGAGAAGCGAGACTGATGGTCTCCACATAGAATTCCAGGATGCCAGTTATTTACTTTCAGCACTTTAAAAATGTCATCTGGTTAACTTCTACCTTCTATTGTTTCTGTCAATACTAGGTGTTGGCAAGATTGTGCAGCAACTAGCACTTCCATGCACTGCTGGTGAGATTGTAAGTGGTACCATCATTTTGCAAACGGTCAGGCAGTATCTAGTAAAGCCAATGCTTACATGCCCCATGCCTAGCAATCCCACTTCTGAGAAAGACCTAGCAGAAACGCATATGAACACGTACCACAAGACATACAGAAGAATGTTCATAGTATTAAGAAACTGGAAACAACCCAAATGTCCTTCAATAGTGGAATAGATGAATTTTGGTATATTCATATAATGATCTACTATACATCCCTGAGAAAACATGACTTTGTTGCTCGAAAAGACATGGAGGAATGCCACATACATAATGTTTGAAAGCAAGGAGTACATTCTATACAACTCCACATATGTGATGCTCAATGATAACAGTCTCAACATTGTTACCTTTGGGGATGGAGTATAATGACTGGGGCACCCTAGCAGCCTCTGGGGTTCTATTGCTTCATATGGGTGGAAACACAGCATGTTCACTTTGTAAACATTCACAAATTGTGCACTTATGATCTCTTCACTTTGCGGTATGTATATTCAACTTTAAAATTACTTTTAAAAAGGAGGATGTCTAAGACTTTCACTTAGCAATATGACAATAATATGATGAGAGATCATCTGAAAAACATCTTATTACATAGCAGCCAGAAGTGTTGGATAAAATGTAACCAGCACTTTTTGTAAATTACAAATGAATTCTCCAGAAAGGAAAGTGTCAAGGGCCAACACTGGATAAGGTATTGATTTCTCTATCCTAGGGAAAGAACAATGTTAAAAGATAAGCCATAATAAATTGCAAGGCGTTGGGTCCCCATGGGATTCAGAGAGACAACAGAGACTCCTGTATAAATGAAAAAAAATTGGAGGGCTATATTCTAACTGTAAAATTGCCTAAAAGGAAGAAAATTCCACCCTTAGGTTAAGTCAAACACAAAGGTTGTCTGTTTCAGCCTGGGCTATGTCTGAAAAAAGTCAACAATAAAGAAATCGTTCCTGAAAATTTGTAACTATGGTCTTGTCTTCAGTTGAGCTGAGGATCACATTTACATTTCCTGCTTGTAGCAAGAACCATCAGGCAACCAATCTGGAAAAAGCCATCAAGGGATATGTCCAGCTTTTTCTTTACTTTTACAGAAAAACAGTGAAGAGCATAGAAGCTGGAGCCAAAAGAATATGTGTCCTCTAACTCAATAATTTTCTTTTTCTGATTATATATCAGCAGTATTTTCAAATGGAGATTTTGCCTTAGAGGGAGGCATCTGTACTTCATAATTAAGGAGGAACATAATGTCTTTGGCTTAGCTATCCTCCACAAAACAAGCCTTTTTAAAAACTGGAATGTCTTTGACTTCACATTTAATTCCATAGACTTTTAATAACCATTTTTACAGTCCCTCTCTCTAGGATCTTTTCATCTTGCAGCACAGAGAAAAGTCATGGGCAAACGTAGATCCAAGCACACGACATTCAACTCTTGTTTTAGATCATCAGTTCCTTCAATTGGCTCCTAACGTAATGTGATTTCAAGATCCTTTTCCATTCTGGTTCACAAAATCAAGAAAATTGAACAGATTTATAATGAGTAGCTGATGAAATTAAAGTTGTTGCAAAGGAAGTGCTCAGAGATCAAAGATGAAATGGAAGCCAAGCAAGTAAAGCAACCAGAGTCAGTTATGGAGAGCATCTTAAGCTCCCATTTCTAGGAAGGGAGTATAGTACTATGAATCTGGAAGCACCAGAGGCACAAATAATGTAATGGAGGAGAACGCCCTTATATCACACACCTTCTGAAAAGAAGAGAGACAGGGAACCTGAGTTAGCTAGAGGTGTGTCCAGCTGATGCCGCCACTGCCAAAAGAGTGATTCCAGTCAGGAGAAAGCTTTCCTGACACTTACTTGGCCAAACAATAACTCAAAACAAGTCTGAATCCCTGAATGTCAGTCGCTAAGATACACTATGTCTCTATGCACATGCATGTGACTGAGGTTAGCTTTAGAAAATTCTTGACATTCAGTGAATCCCCTAAGCAATTTGGGGTGTGCACTTATTCTGCGTTTATAAGATTGAATACTTAGATGAGGTGATTTTTTTCACTTTCAACAAATTATTTTCACATCAGGTGATAATTTAAACCCAGTTAACTATGTCACAAAGCAAACCAAAAAAACCCAGGAATGTCTTAGAATTTCCATAGCAGTGTCTCAGTTGCCCTTCCTAAGCCCATTGGTAGTCCTAGAGCTGCTTCAGACTACTAACAGAAAAATCTAGAGTTAGCTACTAGTGAAATACATTTTCTATTTTAATTTATTAATAAAATGGCATTATTTTCATTGTTAGAAAAATCTGAAGAAAACCTGGAGGAAAGAGCAGAAGACTCGTGGGAAATAGGGCTGGCCAAGCAGGAAGCTGAGTGTGGCCTCACCCCTTCTCAGCTTACAGCTTTAAGTTCCCACTCCTTACCTGATGCTCAAGGCCCCACAAAAATCACCTGGCTCCACTATTTTGGGTCCCTAATTCTCTCATACAAACTAGTTGCTACTCCCAGGTCAGCTCTCTCCCCATCCACTGAGCACACCTGGGGAGTCTTGTCTCTATGCCTTTGCTCTGAGTGAGTTCCTGGAAGACATGTTCTCTTCAATGCTGGACCTCCAGTTCCAAGTTGTAGAGCTACTGCAATCTTCTCAGCACGTGATGCTTTTGCTGGCTACCTCAGTCCCCAGTAGCTCTTCTTCCTGTAAACTCCCACAGTGCTTAATGCCAGGTTCCACTTGGCACTTACCTTTGTCCTGCTAATTTTGACATCTGATATGTTCAGATCCTATCAGCCCAACTAAACCGCCTGCTCCCTGAAAGAAGAAACCAGATTCCTATCTTTCACTTTGTAATTCCCCAAGGGGCCTAGCATGGTTGTTTTGTGTTCTGAACCTCAGTGCATGACTTTCTATTTATCCCTTTAAATTGAAGGACAGAAAGATAAAAGTAGAGGGGAAAAAAGAGAAAAGGATAAATTGTGTAGAGACCACTCTGCAATACCTTTAGGTATCTGGACTTTGAAATGATAGATTATGACCTCAAAAGAAAGTATCAAGATGGAACTTCCTCTTTTCTCTGTGAGGCATTCAAGCAGTGTTTCTGGTCCCTTGCTTTTTCTTTTTGACAGGGATATACTTGTATACCATCAAACGTGGCCCAGAGCCTACACAGAATACCAGTTCACATTCCTTTTTCCTCTGCATTATCTCCACTAAGGTTACCTCAAAGCTCAGTCAGTACCAGGAGAAGCAGTCACATTTTGCTATGGTCCGAATGTGTCCCCCAGAGTTCATATGCAACTTAATCACCAATGTGAGGATATTAAGAGGTGGGGCATTTAAGGGGTGATTAAGTCATGAGTCTGGAGCCCTCAAGAATGGGATTAGGACCCTTATAAAAGGGTTTGAGGGAGTGGGTCTGTTCCCTTCCCCGCCTTTTGTCTTCTGCCACGTGAGGCCACAGTGTTCCTCCCCTCCAGAGGATGCAGCAGCAAGGTGTCACCTTGAAAGCAGAGAGTCTATGCCCTTCTAGAACCTGCCGGCACCTTGATCTGGGACTTCCCAGCCTCAAGAACTGCGAGAAATAACTTCTATTGTTTATATATTACCCAGTGTGAGGTATTTTATGACAGCATCACAAGTGGACTAAAACACGCTTCCTATATACTAGCTCTGACCAACAGGGCAACAGCTTCAAAAGCAAATCAGCCAGCTTTATCACCACAGGAACTAGCCCAAAGATGACTAGATATACAAAGCAAATCATCTTGGTTTTGCCTGAAGTCACTGTTCATGATGGTTCTTAAATTTGGTTGCATATTAGAACCATCTGGAGGGCTTTTAAAAATCCTTATGCCTAGCTGGACCATTTAATATGAATCGCTGGGAACAAATCTAGGTGTTAGTGTTTTCGAAAGTTTACCAGGTAATTTCAATAGACAGCCAAGTCTGAGAAGCAGTGGTTTAATCAGATCCATTAGCAATGTTCATTCCACAGTGGTAATGTTAGAAAATACTGGCCCATTTGGAAATGAGCAGTGACTACAGACGGCAATAAAACTTATTTTCGATTACTCAGACGGCTGGATATCTAGTTTTCAGTTAAGCCAATCTTTAGTGCTTCCATGTTTTTCTCTGCCCTGTAGGCCCTATTATCATCTCTACCTAAAAGTCAACAAGAAGAGCCTAGAAATGACAACACTACATTTCTGTTTCTTATGTAGAGGAGCTCCCTGTGGTTCTTACCCCTGACTTTTCATTAGAATCATCTGCAATATTTAAAGTACCAATGCAGGGCCCTAATCTCAGAAATGCTGGCTCAATTTGTGTAGAGCTGTGATTCTTAACTCATCACCTGACAACCCTTTAGAAATGCAAATTCTCAGGCCCTATCTCAGACCCACTGAATCAGAAATGTGGGTGAAGAAGTGGGTGGGAGCAGAAATCTATGTTTTAATAAGCCCTCTGGAGAATGATGCTGCTGCTGAAGCTTGAAAACCACTGGTCTAGACAGGGCAAGGCTTTCAGTGATTTCTTTGAAAAATTCCACAGGTGTTTCTACTGGACACACTAGGTGGAGTGGAGGCTCCTGGGTTAGAGTACTAGCTTGGATAGTTGACATGTTTCCTTTAATTTTGGTTTCCATGCTCTCCCAATTTCCAATCCTCCACAAGAGGCAGAATACCATTCACTGGGTTAAGTATGAGAACTCTTATATAATACTCGTGTTATACTGAAAAATAATGGATTTGGTGTGGTTGTGTCCAAGCCATTTTAACAACTGAATTAGATCAGCAGTGAAACCCATCTAACTATTCACTCGAACATTTGTCAATAAAATTCCCTGTGCTCATTATCTCTACCCCCACCAAATAAATAGACTTTCCTCCAAAGTAAAATAGCCAGTTAACAGTGACTCTGTAGCCAAATATAACCATCTATTTCTTTTTGATAGGATAAAAGAGACATGAATATAATGGGTATTTATTTTGAAATGGGCCTTTCGGTCAAAATTCCATGCTTCAGTTCAGTGTTCATCTCATCCTTCAAAAAAAACTTAATAGTTTAAAAATCTCAGGGATTTTATTTGTGCAATGATGACATTCAGAATTCTAAATTCTAGAGACTGCATGAAAGTCTCTGGCAAGATATGTAATCAATGGAATCTTTATATGAACATCAATTCATACATTACATAAAAGAGGTTACTATGCACTGACTAATGCCTCAGAGTGGCAGACAGACTGGCTGTTCTCTTTTCCTACATTTGACTGGGCCCGGGGGTACAGGCGAAGGTATCACCTCCTGTGGAGTGCCAAAAATACTTCATGAGAAAGGAAACAATCCTATGGCTCAGTTTATGTCTCTGAGAATCTCTGATAAGTTATTGGTGTGGTACAAAAGATCTAATAGCCTTAGACAAGAGGAGCAGCTGAGATTGCAAGCATGCCTCTCTTTATACATCACCAAAGTCAAAAGGGCTGTTCACTCACGGACAGCCCAGGGGACCCCAATCAGTCTACTGAGAGTTTACCTCGAGGGCAGTAGATGTCTGGAGCCCATCGGTTGCACTCATAATTGTCTGCTGCCTTTTCACAGGTGAAACATTTAAATCCACCAGGATATGGTGTGGCTAAAAAAAAGGATTAAGAGAAAAGATTAATTTTTAGACAAGGCACAGAATCCTGTGAAGTTAAGACATTTTCATTATTTTAAAGAAAGGATTCTCAAGACAACTTAGCAGTTTCTTAAACCTTCAACTACCATATGACCCAGCAACTTTACTCTTGGGCATCTGTCCCTGAGAAATGAACATTTGTATACATGCAAAAATCTGTACACAAATGTCAACAGCAACTTTATTTGTAATAGCCCAAAAACTGGAAATATCCTCGATGTCCTTCAGTGGGTGAATGGTTAAACAAACTGTTGGACATCCATACTATGGAACATTAGTCAGCAATAAAAAGGAATGAACTATTACTACTTTCAACAACTTGGGTGAGTTTCCAGGAAATTATTTGGAGTGAATAAAGCCCATCCCAAAACGTTATATATTGCATGGTTCCATTTATATGACATTTTTGAAATGATTAGTGGTTGTCAGGGGTTAGGGATGGCAGAGGTGGGGGTAGGGGTGGAGAGGTGGGGAGAGAGGTGGGTTTGAGGCCAGTAGGAGGAACCCTTGTGTTACTGAAATTCTTCAGTGTCTCAACTCTGGTGGAGGATACACAAACCTACACATGATAAAATTAGGTAGAACTAAATGTACACACACAGAGTAAAATTAGGGAAATCAGAATGACATTGGTAGACCGATTGTATTGATATTAATATACTAGTTGTGGTATTATGCTATAGTTTTTCTTTTCTTTCTTTCTTTTCTTTTTTTCTGAGTTTCACTCTCGTTGCCCAGACTGGAGTGCAGTGGCACAATCTCAGCTCATGGCAACCTCCATCTCCTGGGTTCAAGTGATTCTCCTGCCTCAGCCTCCCAAGTAGCTGGGATTACAGGCATGTGCCACTATACCCGGCTAATTTTGTATTTTTAGTAGAGATGGAGTTTTACCATGTTGGCCAGGCTGGTCTTGAACTCCTGACCTCAGGTGATCCACCCACCTTGGCCTCCCAAAGTGCTGGGATTACAGGTATGAGCCACCACACCCGGCCTATGCTATAGTTTTTCAAAATGTCACCACTGGGACAAACTGGATAATGGGTACATGGGATCTCACTGTATTATTTCTCAAACTCCTGGCCTCAAGGGATTTTCCAGCCTCGGCCTCCCAAACTGCTGGGATTATAGGCATGAACTACCACACTCAGCATCATGTACTATGTCCTAAAATTGCATATGACTTTAAAATTATCTCAATAAAAATTTTAATTAAAAAGGCATTCTCTGGATTTCTAATAACTTACTCATGTCAACTTATACACAAATGTCAACATGCAAATAAAAATATTGGGTTGAATCATCATAAAATTTCCTGATGTTTGACCATTTCAATCTACAAAAGTGGCAATTTCTCTGGTACATTGTAAAATTTTTATCTGTTCAGACCTGATGTCATTATGAACCCCTGGAGATGGTAAGCCTTAGCTAAGAGAAGAGTCTTCATTGCTAAAATATATGCTGCCCATGCAGAGGTGACCCTCTTCAGGTGCCTTTCGGACCCATGTCCATAGAAGCTAGATGCTGGGGGGATGTGGGGATGAGGCACCAGAGGCTACCAGTTCTAGCCTGAGGACTAGGCCATTCCAGGAAGCCCCACTTATCTCTTCCTACTGCTCCCACTGGTGAGTTGCCTCTTCCTGCCTTCAGAAGGAACTGTCCTCCAAGTGCTTTGATTCTTCACCTATATGCTCAGGTGAGGAGGGGTCACATGAGATTTGAGCTCTGGAGGCTGTCGCGGGCACCCAAGGCCTTCTCTCCACAAAAAGATGAGGATCACCGAGGAATGTCAGGCCCAGCTGTTCTTTGTCCTTACTACTGATGTGCATTTAATTGCTTCTTAGCTCTAATCATTTGCTTGCTTCACTACTTAGAGTTTTGCCTTTCATAAACAAAACTTGTGCTGTTTAATTTGTAAAATTACCTGGCCTATTTGAAAGCTGCAAACACTCAAACACTTCATCTGCAGGAGCCAACTGTTCTCTCTCGCAGATGGCTGAGCCTGCATATCCCACTGGCGGAAATAATCATCTCAGGGTAAATTGCTCTGCCCACATGGAACCAATTAGATATGTTATCAAAAATAAATGAAGGAGAAGGCAGTAGCTTAAGGCCAGAATGATGGACCAGATATCACTTTGATTTTCACCTTGCCGAGAATAGCTGCCCATCCATGTACATGCTTGCATTACTTCACAGACCTGACTATGACAATATCAAATAATGTGTCATGATCAAAAGTCATAAACAGTCTAAAAAAGACAAGTAATCGGAACTTTTTATGGGCCCATCTGCGTGCTCTCTCTCACATAGTAACTCAAATTCATAAACAGAATGATAGAAAAAGTGCATAGATCATTTTACAAAATGATGGAAAGCAGCTTAGACACAGCCATCCAACCACTCCATTTTCATGAGGAAATTTTAATAGGGGGAAAATGTCATATAATTGTGACAAAGAGAAGTATTTTGTAAACTATAAACAAATATTTTTTATACCTTCACATTACCCACCTATAGAAAAATGGGTTACATTTGAATTGAAAGGTTCTATTTTGGTAAGGGCAGGTGTACCTTGTTGTATCACCATTCATTTTAGCACACTTTGCAGATATTGTATTTTTACAAATTGAAGTTTTGTGGCAACCCTGCATTGAGCAAGTCTATCGGTGTCATTTTCCAATTGCACGTGCTCACTTCATGTCTGTGTCACATTTTGGGAATGCTTGCAATATGTCAAACTTTTCCATTACTTTTGTATCTGTATGGTGACTTGTGATCAGTAATCTCTGAAATACTATTATAATTGTTTGGGGGCACCACAAACTGCACCCACATAAAATGGTGAACTGAATAAATGTGTATGTTTTGACTGCTCCATCCACCTGCTATTCTTCCATCTCTCTCTCTCTCCCTTTCCCTGCCCCAGACCTCCATATTTCCTGAGATACAACAATACTGAAATTAGGCCAACTAGTATCCCTACAAATGCCTCTAAGTGTTAAGATGAAAGGAAGAGTAACACAATTTTCACTTTAAATCAAAACCTAGAAATGATTAAGACTGGTGAGGAAGGCATGTTGAAAGCTGAGATAGGCTGAGAGCTAGGCCTCTTGTGCCAGTTAGCCAAGTTGTAAATATAAAGGAAAGGTTCTTGAAGGAAGTTAAAAGTGCTACTTTAATGAATACACGAATGTTAAGAATGTAGAACAGCCTTTTTGCTGATACAGAGAAAGTTTGAGTGGTCTGGATAGAAGATCAAACCAGCCACAGCATTCCCTTAAACCAAAGCCTAATCCAAGTCAAGGTCCTAACTCTTATTAGTTCTATAAAGGCTGAGAGACATGAAGCTGCAGAAGAAAAGTCTGCAGCTAGCAGAGAATGGTTCACAAGGTTTAAGGAAAAAATCCATTTCCATAACATAAAATCATAAGGTATAATGGAAAGTGCTAATGAAGAAGTTGCAGCAAGTTATCCAGAAAATCTAGTTACGATCACTGAAGATGATGACACTAAACAGATTTTCAGTGTAGACAAAACAGCTTTATATTGGAAGAAGATGACATCTAGGACTTTCATAGCTAGAGAGAAAAGTCAATGCCTGGCTTCAAAGGACAGGCTGATTCTTTTGTTAGGTGCTAATACAGCTGGTGAATTTTAAATTGAAGCCAATGCTAATTTATCATTCTTAAAATCCTTGAGACTTTAAAAATTATGTTAAGTCTACTCTGTGCTCTATAAATGGAACAACAAAGCCTGGATGACAGCACATTTATTTACAGAATTGTCTACTGAATATTGTAAGCCCCTTTTGGGATCTACTGCTCAGAAAAAAAATATTTCTTTCAAAATACTACTGCTCATTGGCAATACAGCTGGTCACTCAAGAGCTGTAGGAGATCTACAAGGAAATTAATGTCGTTTTCATGCCTGGGAACCCAACATCCCTCCTGTAGTTGATGGATCAAGAAGTCATTTTGAGTTTCAAGTTTTATTGTTTAAGAAATATATTTGTAAGCCTATAGCTGCCATAGATCATGATTCCGCTGATGAATATGAGCAAAGTAAATTAAAAACCCTTCTAGAAAGGATTAATCATCTAGGTGCCATTAAGAACATTTGTGATTCACAGGTGGTCAAAATGTCAACATCAACAGCAGTTTAGAAATACACGATTCCAACCATCACAGATGACTTTGATTTCAACAGAGAAAGTAACTGCAGATGTGGTGGACACAGCAAGAGAACTAGAATTAGAAGCGGAGCCTGAAAAGGTGACTGAACTGCTGTAATCTCATAATAGAAGTTAAGTGAATGAGGAGTTGGCTTCTTATGAACGAGCAAAAAAAAAAGCCGTTTCTTGAGATGGAATCTACTCCTGGTGAAGATGCTGTGAACATTGTTGAAATGACAAAAAAGGATTTAGAACATCATAGAACTGTTGATAAAGCAGTGGCAGGGTTTTGAGAAGATTAATTCCAAGTTTGAAAGAAGTTCTGCTGTGAGTAGAATGCTGTCAAACAGCATCACATGCTACTGAGAAATCTTTTGTGAAGGGCAGAATCAGCTCATATGGTAAACTTCATTGTTGTCTTATTTTTAAAAATTGCCACAGCTACCCCAGCCTTCAGCAACCATCACCCTGATCATTCAACAGCCATCAATATCAAGGCAAGACCCTCCACCAGCAAAAAGATTGTAACTCACTAAAGGCTCAGATGATCTTAGCATTTTTAGCAATGAAGTCTTTTTAAATTAAGATACGTACATTGTTGGTGGAACATGGTGGCCAACGATGTAATCTCAGCACTTTGGGAGGCCGAGTCAGGTGGATAGCTAGAGCTCACAAGTTCGAGACCAGCCTTAGCAACATGAAGAAATCCTGTCTCTACTAAAAATACAAAAATTAGCCAGGCGTGGTGGCGCACACCTGTGGTCCCAGCTACTCAGGAGGCTGAGGTGGGAGGATCGCTTGAGCCCAGGTGGCGGTGGCTGCAGTAAACTGAGATTGCACCACTGCACTCCAGCCTGGGCCACAGAGCCAAGCCCTGCCTCAAAAAAAAAAAAAAAAAAAAAGATATGCACATTGTTTTTTAGACATAATGCTATTCCACACTTAATAAACTATGGTATAATACAAACATAACTTTTATATGCACAAGGAGACCAAAAAATTTGCATAACTTGCTTTATTGTGATAATTGCTTTGTTGTGGTGGTCTGGAACTGATCCTGCAATAATCTCTAAGGTATTCCTGTACATGGCTGAAGAATTAAAAAAACAAAAACAAAACAGGTTCTCAAACGCCAAAGCCATGCAATACTCTTGCAGATATTTTAATTAATCATATAAAATATTTTAGGAAATTGTCCTGACTGGATACATTAAAAAATAGTTTCCCTATCAAGTTTAAAATACTTAATATATAAACAACTTTCAAAGATTGGACTTTAAAATAGCTTGTAAAATTTGAAGTGGAATGATCAAAGTAGACATTTTGGAAAAAAAAAGATACAAAGCATTTGTCAGAGAACAGCATTTCTCAAAAAAGTGATCATCATATTCACCAAGGTTTATGGCTGCAAGCTACTCGTACCACTTCAGTTTGCATGATTAATTCACTGGGGCATCCAATTTTATCTGTCTGTCACTGCAGCCAGTAAAATTTTTGGATGGAATACTGAATTAGTTATTCCTGGAAACTTTCCCATCAAAGAGATAAATTAAGAATTCTGAATGAAGATTGACGATCCAGCTACTCCAAGAACAAACTTATTGAGACCCTAACACTAGTAAGTTGTAGTGTTCACAAATTTGAATTACTTAATAGACTTTTCAAAATGATCTTTTGTGAGACAAGTGACATACTATAAACACTTATTTCTTACATAAGAGGCCTGGATTCTGAAAATGAACCCAAAGTATATTGAAATTTAAACAGGAGTGGGAACTAAAATACTATGGCAGCAAAATGAAGCTTTGCTTAAATTCTTTTACCTCTGAGTTTATCAGCACGTATCGTTGACAACCAAATTATCTCATTTTTGGTGAGTTTTCTTTTAGAATCTACAGCTCCATATCTGTGCACATTCTCAATGGCTAGAGTTTAATATTTGCTTGTAGGAACCTTTACTGACATCTTGGCAGGAAATACCAATTAGTGAATAATCACACCCTGATTAATGACAAATCTCTGCAAACATACTGCTTTCAGTGGATAATTAAGGTATAATACCAAGTAAATGGTTAAATTCTTCCCTCTTGAGATATTTTGCCAGAAATGAGGTCTACAGATGAACAACTATCTCCAGTAACTTGCTAATTGATACTGCATCTGATAAAGAGGTTTTTTTTTTTTTTTTAAAGGACGGAAAGAGGTTCCTAAGAGATGTGCTATTTGCTTCTTTGTTACTTCAAAGCATTGTAGAGCAAGCGGAGTTTCAAATTGTTGTGGCCCCAGCTGTGAATGAATCTAATTTGGCTCTTGATCACAGAGTTAATAAGCTCAGTACTCTGTATTTCAGGGCATAAGTCCTTGGTCCCTTAAGAGAAGGTGATTGTAAAGAAAAAAAGAAACGCCAAAGTGCCCAGTTACTTCCTGTAAAATAATCTGTCCATTAACTCTCATGGTCAGCCATAGTTCAACCGACCATAATTTATTTGTACGGTATCAGAAAAGATTTAGTCTTTGTTTCCATCTCTTGGAACTTTTGCCTAGACAAAGGCCTTCAGTTACCAGAACCGTGGTGAGAACAGACTTTTGTTTTGAAAGGTATGCTGATGTGTAATGCATCCAAACATTTTTCTATCCTTACCAAATTAACTTCCATTGTTTCTGAAAACTGGATGCATATATAAAAATTCTAGAAATCTAATAAATGTATCTTTTTTCTCAGTCCACTTGGCAACAAAATATTTAAGTATAATTTTAATATGCACATATTTCTGACAGAAATAAATACATTATCTGGTACCTTCCTAGAAAGTCCCCTTACTCTCTAAGACTTACGTAGTATAGTCTGAACAAACTTATTTGGCTCTCTACATGGGCACAAACAAGCCCCCACAGGAATACAGCTCTTTGGTGTACATGATTAAGGAAAGATTCAAAACATGCAACCAGAGGAAAATTGGATATTCTTAGGAAAGGTTTCTTTCTATTCTAAGGAAAGAAATGGAGGCTAAGAATAGGTCGCAGCCACTTAGTATATTAAACTCTGCTATCTCTTACTATGTCTGACTACCAAATAAGCAGCTCTATTTCTCTTAATAGTAACTCTTGTTTTGAAAGTTCTTATTTGATTTGGTATTTGAATCATAGGCTGGGAAGAAATTCATTTTTCACATAAAAACAAGCAAAGAAAAACTCAACAACAAATGACACAAGGATTATAGAAAAGAACATTATTGACGACAGTGCTTCAGGTTTGAAAGCCATGAAGTTTCTTTCTTTTAAATGTTCAGAAACTTCAAAGATTAGGAAACCAGGGAGCAAAAAAGATGAGTCATGAGAGGCTGAATTTTCCCAGCCTGGTGTTCCAATCTCTCCCCAGTTATTATCAGTGATGGCTGTTCTGGGCATCGGAATGAGGAGAAAATAGCTTCTGTTTGTCTGGTACAGAAAATGTGTGTGTCTTCTCATATCTCCAGCATCACCATATTTCTCCTTCAGCAGGTTCCGAGCTTCATGTTACACATTGTAACATTAATGAAATGTGGCTCATTCACAAAAGAATGCTGTTTGTGCCTTCATCTACAAAGTGAGGTGACTATACAAATAATTCAAAATCAAACTAATCCCATACTTCCCTCATATATTTTTTACGGTCTATGTTCAACAGATACCTGCTTATTTGTAGAGACTACAGCTTAATATGGTCTAGTGCTCAAGGACATAGAACCACGCCATTTAAAAAATCAAAGTGTGAAAACACACACCACAAACTTCTAAAATAGTTCAAAGAAATTAGAAGTTAATACTGATTTAAAAGTGGACAGAATAGGCCAGGCGCGGTGGCTCACGCCTGTAATCCCAACACTTTGGGAGGCCGAGGCGGGCAGATCACAAGGTCAGGAGATGGAGACCATCCTGGCTAACACGGTGAAACCCGTCTCTACTAAAAATACAAAAAAAAAAAATTAGTCAGGCCTGGTGGTGGGCACCTGTAGTCCCAGCTTCTCGGGAGGCTGAGGCAGGAGAATGGCATGAACCCAGGAGGCGGAGCTTGCAGTGAGCCAAGATCGCACCACTGCACTCCAGCCTGGGCGACAGAGTGAGACTCTGTCTCAAAAAAAAAAAAAAAAAAAAAAAAAGGTGGACAGAATAAACGAAGTTCTGGCCAAGTAGGAGCCATTCATAGTAACTTCACTCTAACAACAATTTACACAGTATTCCCATCATAAGTTATGGAGGGAGACTCTAAAGAGAACTTGGACCCTGATCTGCTGGTGAATCATCTACTTATAATCTCACTTAGGAACAACTTCCATCCTTCTCCATATCTCAAAATCATATCAGAAAACCTCACCAATTCTTTTTTCTTTTACTTTTATTTGCATTTGTTTTATGCTGCATTTATTTCCAATGTCATACGTTTTTGTTTCTTCAGTTTCTTCCGGGATATCTTTTTCTTCTCTGCAACCCCCTCTTCTGGTTTAGGAACAATTTGATTCTTTTCAGTAAGGGTCACCTCGATGTGACAGGGGGAGCTCATGTATGGCTCTTTAAGTAAGTTCAGCCGTGCATCTTGGATTACTTGTTCACCTGGATAGGCTCAGTGACCAGGGAATCTACATCTAAACCCCTAAGTACAGCATGATTCTGTGTTTTAAAGCATGTGCAGCAAAAGATCAGCACTCTTTTCAGGCCACTGATCCTGTGTTCAGCCTCACTGTTTGGCCTGGGCACAGCTACCAACTCCACCACTGTAATGTTAGAATGGTAGACATTATTTTTGTAAAGTGACATCTTTCAGACAACTCAGTGGCTTTTTGTACATGCATACGCTTGATGGTCTGGGCAGTTTCACAGGTGTTCTTAAAGTGAACATGAAGATTTGAACCCTGATTTGCATGATTTGGTTTTCCAGGTCAAATGAATAGTGAACCATTTTTACAGATCACCTCAGGCCAGTGAGGGGAAGAGGAAGCCCTACTAATTCTTTACATATGGCGAGTTTCTTCTAATCAGGCCATGGCTTTACTTAATTAACATTGGTCATATGAGCAGAACTTTTTCATCAACTTTTCAAGAGCAGAAGTGATTTCCCTCTGCTTGCAAGGCTCAGCCTTCAAGACCTCCTTCTGAAATTGAATTTCCCAATAGAGACCCAACACACAGGGCACTGACCCACCACACTACTGAGGCAGAAGTGGTGTGTATGTTGTTAAATCCAGTCACCTTAATTCTCCTTCCCACTCTGTGTGTACAATCACAGCCTCCGTGTAGGTCCAGTGTGGACCTTTTCTGCAGCCCAGTTACTACTGAGTCTGTCACTGAAGTTGAGAAGGAATCATACAGAAGCTGAAAACTCTGGCAATCAACCCTAAGAGACAGAAACCTAGGTTTTTGATTCACCAAGTCTAATAAAGTAGCATGCCTGCTTGGAGAAAACAGCAAAATGCAATCTAGAAAACAGAACAAATATTAAAGCACCTTCTCTTCATGCATATTATTAAAATAAAATCCCCACAAAACAAGCAGCCAGATAAGTCTTCCATACGATTAACCAGTGGGCACCAGACTATACTGATAAGAGGGTACAGAGACAATAGAAATCTAAAGAAATTATTTGCTGCCTATTAAAAGTATATGGGAGTTATACAACACTGGAGCATTGTATTCTCAGCACCCCCAGTTTACTAAGCCAACGATAATAAAAACAATAATGTAAACAACCATTTGATTGCCTGGTGTGGTATAGGCCTAGTGTTTTACAGATATTATTTCTGCTCCATAAAATAATGCTAACGAGTATGTATTATATTACTTTACCACTTTAGAAAAGACAAAATTAACACAAAGAATTCTCCTAACATTGATTGAGCATTTCCTATGTCTCACACTCAGTGCTAAGTGCTTCATACACATTTTTAATTTAATCTTCACAATGATAGGGAATTTATTTTAAGTCAAAAGGCCACAAAGCAGCTGAGCTAGTTGCTGACCCTAGGTCAGGTGGACTCCAAGCCCCAGGGCATTCTGCATACCACCTCTCAGCTAACCCAGAACAAGCAGACATTAAATATTCCAACCACGTGGATTGAAGGAGTCCACATGGCTGCCTTCACTTTGTAGACTATGTGATCCTCAAAAGCAAGGACTGTGTTTGATTTGCCTTTATGCTTTCAAGCCTATCACAATCCTTGACACACAGTGGACACTCAAACTATATTTGTTAAACAGAGCATTTCAAAAGAGTAATGCACCTTGGGGCAAAAGCCGAAGGTCAGAATATACACAATACAACCAGCTCTCACCTCAACAGGGGCAATACAGAAGAGGATTCATACAAAGAGACAATAAATACAAAGATAGAGACCAAAAGAGGAAGTCAAACTGCTGTGTTTCCTAAAGCGTGATCCTTAGAATGTCTGCAGCAGAAGTACTTGAAGTTCTTGCTGAATGCAAAAATGCACAGGTACAGCCTGAGATACATGCAAATCAGAAACTCTAGGGCAGGGATCTGGGCATCTATGTTATTAAGCATTCCCTAGATAATTCTTAAATATAGGAAACCAAAAGGAGGCACAGGACATTGGAAGTTGTGGGAGGAAATTACACTGAAATTGAGAATTAGATGCACAGAGAGGAAGACCAGCTATTATCTTACGTATAAAGGATTGATCTTTTACAAACAATCCTCCTTCTGGGATATGGTGGTTCACTTTAAAAGCTGACTTAGGACTGGCATGAGTACAAGGGGAAGAGTGTTCAGAATCAGAGTGATTGTGTAGGGAACAGAGAAAACAAGCCCAATAATTTGCCTTAACACCACCAAAAATCTTCTTGTGAAAAGGTGAGGGTAAAGCATAAAACATCTTTTGTAAATTACCGCACCACCCCAGTTAAATCACGGGAGGTTTTCACTATACTGAAGGATGCCTTTTCCTGGCCAGTTTTTGAACCACTTCTTATTTGAAATAAAGTGATATTTCTGCAGCAAAGAGAACAGTCTTACTTGAAGGATGGAGGTAGATAATGTCTTTCACTGTGAAGTCTCGGGACTGAGCAGCTTTCAGACAATCCGCCAGCAGGCTCAGGAGCAGGAGCCAGGCCAGAGCAGGGCCAGGTTCCATGGCAGACTGAAGTGTCACTCATACAGAGGGCCTGGGAGTGGGCACTCAGGGCAACAGGAGAGAACTTGCACCTGAAAAATGAAGAAAGAATCATCTCAGTGATCGACTGGAGAAAGCCACAGGAGGCTTGGCTGAGCTCCCATGCTGGTAAGATGGGATGGAGAGCAACAGGGCACAAGGAAGTGGGTAGACATGGAGAGAAACTTTATCAACAGTAATTTTAGAGCACTGAGAACATTCCAGCCCAGATCTAGTCTTAATCAGGTTGCTAAGGCTCCACTGGTAGCCATCCCCTCTCATATCCAGCAGAGATGGTATCAAGAGAGACTGAATTTTAACAAAATCCAGCTATTTTTTGCTAGGAGGCCAGGGGATGGCTGCCAGAGTACGATAAAGAAGTCAGGAGCAAAAGCTCAGAAGCATTTCCCTGAGAATGGTGCAGGTCAGATAGGGAGTTCAGCCATACTGGGCCACGGGTGTCCATGCAAACCTGTACAGGGCAGACTTTCAGATTTAGGAAAACAAACAAATACAGGAAAGCTGACCTCTCCAAAATTAAAAAGTGCCTCCGTAACACAAAATCTCCTTAATGTAACTAATATTTGTTGGCCAGGTACTACTGAAGTCCTTTATGTATATCCATTTATTCTCCCAGCAACCGTATGAGGTAGGCATAATTATTAACCCATTTTGGGTAAACTGGGGTTCAGCAAATAAGTAGCAGATCTGACTCTAACCCAGGCAATGTGGCTTTGGAGTCTGCACAGTTAAACACTAGGCAATTCTTTGTTCTTAAGACTGACTTAAGGTGTATTTAAAAAACGGATTGGATGGGCGTAGTGGCTCATGCCTGTAATCCCAGCACTTTGGGAGGCCAAGGCCTGGATCGCCTGAGGTTGGGAGATCGAGACCAGCCTGGCCAATACAGTGAAACCCTGTCTCTACTAAAAACACAAAAAATTAGTTGGGTGTGGTGGCAGGCACCTGTAATCTCAGCTACTCTCGGGAGGGTGAGGCAGGAGAATCGCTTAAACCTGGGAGGCAGAGGTTGCAGTGAGCTGACTTTGTGCCATTGCACTCCAGCCTGGGCAACAAGAGTGAAACTCCATCTCAGAAAAAAAAAACCAAACTGATAAGATTGTGTTATCGCTATAGCACTAAGTGATTACTATCTACTGTGTCCTTTATTCTGATTGTCCTTTTCACTCAAAATTAAGGAAAAGACAAATCTGTAATAAGCCTGAATTGCTCTGCTTACTGGGAATGCAGAGATCTGTCTTAATTTTTATATAGGTGCTATTCTCTTGCTATCTTCTTGGTTTCCTATAAAGCTTATTCCTCATGTTCTACTACTTTTCCAAGTACCATTATCTCTATTGCTCTGCAAGGAGTCAAGGTTACTCATTTTATTTTAACCTAGCTGAAAACAAACAGTTTTGATATTTTGTTTAATATAAATGTTCAACAAGATTTTTTAAATAGCATAATTACTTTGTAAAAATACATAGGCAAGGAAATATATTATGAAACAGAAACTCAGTACAGAAAATCAATACGACCCAATCAGATCTAGAATATACTACAAAGCAAAATTAATCAAAACACAATGATAGAAGGTATAAAAATGAACTTACAAAGTAGAACACTCTAAGGAGCCCAACAGACCCAATTGTTTATAGGGTGCAAGCAATTGTTCAAAATTACAGAATGGGACCACATTAAGTGAATAGTATTATAACTTTTTAAAATATTTTTTTAAATAGCTGAAACCATAAAATGCATAACATGCTAAATTACTTCCAGATGTGATTATTCTTTTTTAATTGGCAAATTGTTAGACAACAGAGTAGAGCTCTCTTATCACTTGTAACAGCTTGATAATGCCAACCTTGCTAATTTCATGCTCACTACGCCATCTTCTGTTTACAATTTAATTCCCCAAGCAAACCTGGCATTCAGGAAGAGAATGGGCCACTCAATCACTTAATAAATGTGACTGCCAGGCACTGTGCTGGGCACTTGGTTGAACAACATGATGAAAAAACAAGTATCCACCAGTATCTTTCCCTTGCAAGTCAGCAGCCAAGTGACAGAGACAAACATCACTTCATCTTGAATGAATTCAACAGTGCTTCTTTCCACATCCATCTGGCTTTTCTCTGCCAGCATGGTGAGGTTGGTAAGGTGAGGCTGCACCTCTGGGACAGGTCTGCACAGCATCCCATGGATACCTGGCAGCACTATGGCCAATACCCCCATCTCCTCCCAATCTGTACGTAGCAGGGCTCAGTTTGAGAGTCAGAGATCAAAATGGAATGAACATTATGTGTGTAACTGTAAACATAAATGTGAACAAATGCACAGACAAAAGACTGGAGAGGAAAATACAAAATTAAGATAGTAAATCCATGGTGTATGAGTTAGCCCAGGCTGCCGTAACAAAATACCATAGACTGGGGGGCTTATACAACAGAGATTTCTCACAGTTCTGGAAGCTAGGAAGTCCAAGATCAAGGTGTCGGCAAGGCTGCTGTCTCCTGAGGCCTCTCTTCTTGGCTTGCTGATGGCTTTGCCCTACATGCATAGTCCTGGTGTCACTTCCTCTACTCATAAGAACCCAGTCAGATTGGATTAGGGTCTCAGCTTTATGGCCTCAGCCTTAATTACCTCCTTAAAGGCTCAATCTCCAAATATAGTCACAATCCAAGATACCAGGGGTTAGGCTTCAACATATGAATTTTGGGGGCACACATTTCAGCCCACTGCATGTTTTCTGTTGTTGTTGTTTTGTTTTTTAGGTAACATTTCCTCCCACAAGACATGTCCCAGTGATGATGATGTTTCATAATTTTAAAAGAGTATAATTGATCTGAGGTGACACAGAGTACTGTAAACTCCTTCCCAGGTTATAGGACCATGAGCTCCTCAGGACAGGAACTTGCCGTGATTATCCTTACTTTCCCTGCCTCAGACCCTGGCCACAGAGAGGGTTCTGAGAGCCTCTGTGGGAGTGGATGGGAACATTTATGTCAGACTATTCTAATACCTCAGGGTTGGCCTCTTGCCCTCCACTCCCTTTCTTCGTCAACTCATCCTTTGTTTTGCCATAAGAGATGAGTGATAAAAACATCATCACATCTGCTAAAAATAAAAATCCAGATCCATGCTATAGAAAAAGACTTAATTTGAAGTCATGTATACTATATCTTTTATGACCAAAAATATGAGCAGATGGGAGTGAGAAATGTCTTGAAGGGATAGTTAAAAATTCACAATATCAAGAATATGAAAAATTATATTCATAGTAAAGTACACAGTAAAGCAAACTCATGGCAAAGTTTAAATCGATGAGGATTAAGTATAGCAGAACTTTTGTTCTGGTTACTTTTTGGAAAAAAGTAACGACTTACAAAACTATGTGGCATCACTTCAATTTTTAACTTACTCTTCCATGTAACCTTATGCAGCATTTTCCATTTTTGTTTTGTTGCCTTTAATAGTGTGTTTAAATTGTCAAACATGCTTCCCCCCTCCCTCCATCATACTACTTATTTATCGTCTAATTGGTTTGCAAATGTCTATGTGCAGAACTAAGAGTGATCATGGTACCTCCATGGTGCCTAACATAGATGACGGGCTGACAGGTGCAGCAAACCACCATGGCACATGTATACCTATGTAACAAATCTGCACGTTCTACCCATGTATCCCAGAATTTAAAGTATAATAATAATAATAAAAAGAAATGGTGGGAGATGTCTTCACAATATATCATGATTCCACATCCTTTCTGATAAAATTATACACTAATGCTAATGATATATTAAAGGACAATACCAAAAAGCCAAGGCTCAGGTCAAAAAGGAGATGGATATTTTTACAGACTAGACACAGAGTACATATACAACATGGGGAAAATGCCATAGGGCTGCTGGGAAATGGACCCAGTAGCAGGGATGTGGCTGCAGGAACTTGGCCTCTGTGGAGAATAGTCTTACATGTCTTCATGTGAGATAGGGAACTAAAACCAGGCTCACAGCATAAAACTAGGGACTGGAGTACAGCACTCTGCTCATAGAAGCTAAAAAACCCAAATGGCCAAAAACCCCAAATGGCTACAATTGCTGCTTGAAGCTATGCCTCATAACAAGCAGGGTGCCTCATGAGAAAACAATCAAAGTTCCTGCTTTGCAGCCAGGAACTAAACCAAGTCCCCCACAGCTTTCCTGACTGTATGGCAATATCTCCATACCAAAGAAAAAGAATTTTTACTTGTATAAAAGATGCTGATGGAGGTCAGGAGCACATTGCCTTGTATCACCTTCCAAGGCCATGTCCTGTGTGTGCACAGGATGGTGGATCAGCGTGGATGAAATTAAGCAACTATTTCATTCATTACAAGATATCCACCTCTACTCATCACAGGAAAGAGCAAGCTGAATTCATTAGGCCTGATTTCTTTAGCACAAGTTTTCAAATTTGGGGGATTCAAATAATTTTTTAACCATGAATTTCATGTGTTTAATGCTGAATTTCCAAATTCTTAAAGTAGTTGAATTTTAATTCTCACAATACATTTTACTTGTGAAATCATTTCTTCTTTGGAAAAAAAAGAGTATGTCTTTTCTAGGTTTATGTGTAGTTAGTAAAAGGACTGAAAGGATAGACACCAAAATAATGTAGGACTTAAGGAGTGTTTTAATATTCATTTACATATTCAAAACATCTTAATGAGCATGTATTATTTTATAGAGAAAAACTTTTAATAACATTTTTCAAAGAATGAGTTTGACAGACTTACTTTTTATGCACAAGTCAGTCAGCTTTTCACCTAAAACCAATGAACATAACCTCAAAATAGTCATGTCTTCTAAAATAATAGATTCAATATGAAACAGAATGTTCTCTCTTCTCATCTCTTACCATGCCCTCCCCTGGTGTCCTAACACTATTTGGAAGATGCAAGCCTAAGACAATGAGGGAAAGGGGGAAAAGAGAGATGGAAATAAATCTAGAAAACAGGAGGCAACGTGCTCATAGGGTACTATGCTGCTCACCACCTCAAATGACACCACAACGGTAGAAGATTAAGAGGAAGGCCTGCACCTTGGTGTAGCCCATGGAAGGAGAAAGAGACAAGTCATCTACCTGGTTCCTTCCTGCTTGATCACCACTGATCAAGCTTCACTCCACAAGGAACTCCCTCCCTCCCCTACGCTTCAGCAGCCAGAATGGAGGGCCATAACCCAGTGTGGACGGACCTCTGATCAGGAAACAGAAAGAAAGCACCTGGCACAGAAATCTGAGGTTTCTTTTATTGTATGAACATACTATGTTTATCCATTATCAGATGATAGACATTGGGTGATTTTCACTTTTTGGCTATTGTGAATACTGCTGCTAACATTCATGTACATGTTTGTGTGTGGACATATGCATTCTGTTTTTCTTGGGTATATATGCAGGAGTGGAACTGCTGGGTCTTGTGGTCTTACGTTTTACTTTTGGAGGAACTGCCAGTTTTGCACTGAAGCTGCACCATTTTACATTCTCATCAGCAATATATGTGTTTCAATTTCCCCACATCCTCACCAACACTTTTCTTTTCTTTTTTAAAAAAATTATAGCCATCCTAGTGGCTGTGAAGTATATCTCACGCTGATTTTGACTTGTATTTCCCAAGCAATCAGTGATGTTGAACATCTTTTCATGTGCTTATTAGCCATTTGTATATCTTCTTTGGAGTGATGTCTATTCAAATCCTTTGCCCAATATTTTGCCTGAATATTATCTAATTATTTTTGAGTTGTAAGAGTTCTATATTCTGGATTCTAGATCCTTTTCAGATAAATGTTTGCAAATATCCTCTCCCATTCTTTGTTGTCTTTTACTTTCTTGATGGAGTCCTTTGATCTACAAAAGTTTTTAATTTTGATAGAGCCCACACATTATTTTTTATAAACAGATTTTGTTCCCTTATAAAAATCACAACCGACACAGGACTAAAAAAAATGCATACAATGCACAGTAAAATAACTTGTCTACTTTATAGTAGACAAGGCTGTATTTTCCACCTCTCTTTTCCATGAGAAAAACAGGATGGGCAGGACTGTTTATTCATATCACCGACTGTTTACATTCCTGCAGTAAATCATGAAGCACCACTCACTCTATTAGTATTTTCTAGGAACTGAAAAATGAAAAATGAGTGGCATGCATTCACAATTAACCTAACAGCTACTGAAATACAAACACTGCTCAGGGGATGTATCTTTTCCTCATAGATTCTCAGTAGTTGATGGAGCTTTAATCCACAAACCTCACAAATGTGACGCTGGACATGTTCAGATGATATGAAGTCTTTCCTGGGACTTTGATGCTTTTCCACAGAATCTGCAGTGCCTTTGTACTGTATTAGACATTTAGAAAAGACATTGTGTTTCCATTTTATGATGCTGCTATTTGAATATGCACTGCAGATCGTGTCCCTGAATACGGTTCTCTTTATGAAGAAGTACACTCTCATTTTCACAGTTCTGTGACCTTTCATTTGTTATTTATGAGCTTTTGCAAATCTAATACCGCTCTGACAGATTTAATTTGTGCTCTAAATTACCTTTGCATGAGTTACTCAACTGCTGGTTTTATTCCAATGGATTACTTGCTACATTCCAAAACAGAAAAAAAAAAATTAGTTCAAGATCTATTGGACTTCCTCCACTTGGGAGAAAGTTGAGAAGAGGTGCACTCTGAACCTTCACTGTGTGGATGGTACTAGACAATATAAAGGAGGATTTCTACATCAGTCAGAGGCAAAGTGCTAGGACCATAAGCCAGGTCAAGTTTTACAAGTCTACATCCTAATTACTATTTCATGTACAGTCTATAAAATGAGATACTTCCACTTAAACTGGTCACTAGATGAAAATTAAGCACTTTGGAAGCTATCTTAAGAACCAAGTACTAAATTACAAAATCTCAGGACTAAGTCAGTATATACGCAATTATAAAGTGGCAAACAAATACAAATCTAAATATTTCAATGCTATTCAAACAGAAATTTAAAAATGCCTAATACAAGAGCAGAATGGAATTCTGAAGCCTCAAAGATCACAATCAATCTTGATTTAATTTTTAATATGGTGGTATCTTAGGTGCCTGAAAAAGTTAATACAGTTTCCAAAAGTATAAACTAAAGGTAGGTCTTTCAAAAGCTAAGTCTCTTTAAATATATCACGCTGACCACAGGCACCTTTCATGCAATTTGGGAATTGCTCAAGATATGCCCTGCTTTAAAAACTTGTCTGGGGGCTAGGTGCAGCAGCTCACGCCTGTAATCCCAGCACTTTGGGAGGCTGAGGCAGGAGGATCAACTGAGGTCAGGAGTTTGAGACCAGTCTGGCCAACATGGTAAAACCCCATCTCTACTAAAAACACAAAAATTAGCTGGGCATGGCGGCGGGCACCTGTAATCCCAGCTACTCCAGATGCTGAGGCAGGAGAACTGCTTGAACCCGGGAGGCGGAGGTTGCAGTGAGCCGAGATCACGCCAACGCACTCCAGCTTGGGTGACAGAGTGAGACTTCATCTCAAATAAATAAATAAATAAATACAATTGCGAATTCTTTCACATGTCTCCATTGAGATGTGAGGTCTACATCTTGTCATTTTGACTCTGGGCCAACTTTACTAACTAGTTGACCAGAGTGTGGTATAAATGATGCTTTGTGATTTCCAAAGCTAGGTCATAGAGCATGATGCAACTTACACCTGGTACTCTGGAATAATTGTGCTGAAACTCTGAGACACCATGTTAGCAGCCTAAGTGCCTTGAGACTGCCATGCTATAAGGAAGCCCAAGTAGTCCACAAGGAGCTACTGAGACTTCATAAAAAAGAGAGCTGCCCAGCCAACCCCCAGGGGCTCCAATCCCAGCTCCTCCCTTCTATTCCATAGCCACAGTTACCTTGCAACAGCACAGAAACTTCCAGAAAAGCCTAGCTGAGCCCTTCTTACATTCCCGACCCACAGAAATCATGAGAGAAAATAAAATGATTGTTACTGGCTTCCAGCCACCAAGGTCTGTGGTGACTTGCAAAGCAGCTACAGATACCTAAACACAAGGAAGTGGAGCTAAAGAGCTAACTAGAAATTACAGTTCAGCTCATGAAGATAGTAGCATTTTTAAGAACACATTGGTTGTAAGGTACAGAAATCCCAATCAAATAGGCTGTAACTAAAACTGCAACTGGGAAGGAAGGGGAAGCATTTTACTGTCTCACCTAACCATCCAGTTTAGACATGGCTGGACTTTTAACCTTGTTTTCAGGAATTTTCATCCCTCAACTTTGCTCTGCCCTCTCTTTTACTTTTATTCTCATCAGGTCCTCCCAAACTACAGCCACCAGCAGTTCCAAAGGCATTCTCCAGAAGTCTCTTTTCAAAATGTTTCAAGAAAAGCTCTAAGAAAGGAGGGAGGTCCATCTTTGGACCAAGAATTGGCCAGAGTAATGTGCCATTCCACTTGCCCAGGGCTGCGTCACTAGCATGTAGCTGAAACCAGAGCAAAAGTGTCATTTTTATTGAAATCACAAGGTATGAGAATGTGGGAGGTATTGGTTTCCCACAGGAAAACCTAGGTGTTTCAAGCTGAAGCAGAAGGACTGACTAGATGCTGGGAGAGCAAAACCACAGATGACCACTACAACAACAACACAGAGTTTGAATAACCTCATTAGCCTAGGCATGCAAAATGAAGCTAAAGGTTGCTCTGGTGAATATTTCTGCAAATACCAGAAGACAGCAGTGTTCCTCACTGACATGTTACCTATTGACAAGTAGGAACGTTACCTATTTTCTTCTCTAAAAATTGAATACCACTCCATTACAACTTTTCAAATCAAAATACAAGGTTGAAACAATAAAACCAAAGTTCTAGGGGGCATTCGCAATGCATTCTGCTCTATACTTCCCCCTTCTTACGGGAACGGGTCTTCTGCTAACACCAATCATGTGTAACTATTGAAGAGTTTCACATTCTTACATGGCTAAGCCTACTGGCTACTGTTATTTGGGTCAGTGTTGGACATTTTCACCAAGTCTGGCCAATTAGAAGTCTTCCTGAATATTTTTCAAGTGAGAATGGAAAAATAAACCAGTCTTCTCTGGTACAGGAGCCCCCAAGGTGTGACACGCAGAAACATGTGTATGCCATGTTCCTCCCATCATGGAGGAGGAAGAAGAGAATGAAACTTGCTGGCTAAGAGAAACGGTGATGAGAGAGAGTCAAAAAAGCCCCAACTGTGTTCAACCCTTGCATTTCTGGCCAGTTTTTAACTCTTCCTTTAATTATTATAGAAGCCTTAATATCCATCCAATAAATCTCCCTTTGCCCAAGCTAGTTTGAGCTGGCATTCTGTCCCTTGCAGCCAGGAACTCTGGCTCCAAAAGAGTCCTCCAAAAGGATCCAGCCACTAGCTTAAATTTTGTTTTGTAAATAAATATGCTTTTTACATTAATATTTCTTTAAGCCTTATCAGCTAAAGGTTAAAGGTGGTTTTAAAAATGTCAATAATAGAGAACTAGCCAGAGATGATCTCTCTTGGACTTCATAGACACTGATACTTTATTCTACACCTAGAGGGAGAAAGTTATTCATGCATACCCAATCTTAACTGCGAATCTATTTGCATAAAAATCAATGTTTTTTAAAAAAGTTCATTTCTCTTTCTGGAGCCCCTTGGCAAGGCTAGAGTTATAGGGAAAAGCTGTCTTGCCCCAATTTGATTTAAAGTTCAATTGCATCAAAATACTTCAATTCCTGAAGGGCAAATGATGTCTTGTTGTGTATGTCTAGTAATATACAATCATACATCATTTAACAACGAGGATACGCTCTGAGAAATGCATTGTTAGGTGATTTTGGTGTTGTGTGAACATCATAGAGTGTACTTATACAAGCCCAGATGGTATAGCCTACTATACACCTAGGCTATTGAGTATAGCCATTATAATCGTATGGGATTACTGTTGGACACGCAGTCCACTGTTGACCAAAATGTCATTATGCGGTCATTATGCATATGCATGACTGTATTCACAATTCTAAAGGATGTATTTACTCTAGGAGCTATTCAGCTTGTTGGCTGTGTGCTTGTTTGCTTTCTCCATCAATCTGAAGGTTCTTGAGAACTGACAAGAAGGCATTTTCAAGTGCAAACAGCCAGAAGGGAAAGGAGTCAAGGAACTCCCAGGCAGGAATGGAACACTAGGTACATTTCAGTTACAGCTTGTCATTTTTTATTTATTGGGAGGGGGTGGTGGTCTGAAGAAATTTTTGCCTTTAGTGTCTTTCATTAAACTCTTCTTATGTTTCAGAATGCCATTTTTCATTTTATTTTTTCCAGGAATTTTTACCCTAGAGATATTCCAAAAATGCGGAAGTGTAAAATGTACTCAGAAACAATATAGTAGTTCTAAGTGAACTAAATTGCAGCCAGGTCTGTTCTTACATTCAAAATAACCTGGTTCCAAATCTAACATTAGATTATGAGGCATATGCTTTATATCCTTTAATCAAAAAAAGAGTTACCTTGGCACTATATAGAGGTAGTCATTTCTGTATTTGGAGTGATGCATTTACCTTTCTTTTATTCATGTTTCCAAATCTTCAGAAACAAGAAGTACTAGTAATCAGTTATAAAGCAGATGCTGCCTGCTATGCACCCGTGGAGATATTCTGCACTATTTGAACTGAGTTTTATTGGCAGTGCCCACTGGAAGGTGTTTTGGGCCACTCTGTCATCATTTTAGAGGGCTGGCATGAAGATTCTGTTTGAGGCTTTGAGATCAGTTCATTCTCCCACCCCACCCAATGTCTTTGGCACTGCCCTGCTTACCCACATTATTAAGGGTTTTCTGCCCTTCCTGACACCCCTCACCACATTGTCTGAAAGCCAAATGTAAACAAACCACTCTGAAATCTTTAACCTCTTCATGAAATGTTTCTTCCATTGCTTTGTGTTGAGAGAAGCCCAGCTCACAGCAAAAAACTGCTACTTCCTTTTGAGCTATTTCCAGTACAGAGTACTCACTCTTCCAAGTCCCATGGATTCTGGGGACAGGAGGAAGCCAGAATTCTCCCTCCCACCATAATTTACAAATCATGCCCTTTCTTTCTACACAAATTCTCCTCCTTACCACAAAGCCTAAACCATCTGCCCTTGTAGCTAGCTGTCAAGAAAGGGTTAGAGAACGTGAAGAATATGGCTCACCTTCAACCATTAACAAGCACTTAGCCTCATCTTGATTCCCACTCAAGACTGGGAAGAACCAACTCATACTGAATCTTGTGTCCTACCTGGCATGGAGTAGGGTTTTTCCCATGGTTCCAAGAATCCTGACCAAATATTTGTCCAAAAACCGTGAGAGTTGTTTCCATTTGGCCTTTGAAATAATTTAAGTTCAAGAAAGAGCTGTAATTACTAATCTGGTAGGTGTGGAGAGTTCTTCCAGAATTTCTCACAGCAGAGAAGAGCCAGCCTGTGCTCTCTTTTCTTGTAGGAAAAAGAAAAAAAATTCAAACAGCCAACAACAAAACAATGACTTAGGTAAAAACCCTATGGCTAACCCTATTTGCAAACCACTGGGTTCATTAGCAGCCAACTTCTAAATCTTAACCAATATTTCTCACTTGATAATGAATGTTTTAAAAACAAATCTATGTGTGTACATATCCTCCAAATCTGTGATTAATACCTTCAGCTACACACAGTATGTATCCTGACAGCTCAAAGACCATCGCAGTTTTATTTTTGTGAAAGGGTATAAGATTGGCTAAATCAACCTAAACTATAATTTGACTTTTCAAACACATTTAACTAATTAGCACACTTAGTTAGAGGAAAGAAGGATTTCCTCATCCTGCATTTGAAGGCAAAAAAATGTATCAAATAAGCTCCCAACTCTGTATCACTGAGGCAGGAATTCTTCCTTTTAATGCACCATCTTCATTTATAAGTCTCTATAAATAATGATAATTGAAGAAGTGTATTATTGTAGCAAAGCAGAATATAATAAGATTTTACATAGCATTCACTCAGGTAGAAAAGGATACAGGGGTTATTAATAAAAGAGCGTTGTCCTTGATAATAGAACATTTTTGTTTTTGCATCTAAATTAATTTCTTTCTTAGAGAAAAAAGTACTGAGTAGCCTCCTATGGATAAGAAAATTGTCCTCCTTGTTTTCTATTTTACATGTTCACTCATTCACCCACTCATCATGCTCTACAAGGCAGGCATAGATAACAGTATCTGTTATATACATTATTGTTAATAGTTCTAGCATAATACTCAAATTCTTGAGCTCTCTTAGTAAAATCATTAATGTTATTCTTAAAATAAAAGTCCCCATAAAGACTGCTAAGAGCATGTGAAGAAATGCTGGCTTCAGTCACTTAGTGAATAGTGAGCATGGTGTGATGTTGATGTGCCATCCTTAGAACCAAGGCCACACACATGTGAGACGCAGGAAGAGGATCCAGGTGACATGACTGCATCAACCCTACACAGGCATTATCCATGAAAACCAATAAGACATCCATAATCCTTCCTTCCAACTAGGGCAGCTTATCTGGAAGAAAAAAGGAAGGAAAAAATGGAGAGAGACAGGGATGACACACAACCTGAGGGGCAGGTGCGAGCTGTGGAATGCCCTGGACTCCCTGATCCAAGGTGATCCCATTGAAGCTTTCCAGTCTCCAACCAGACTGGCAACTAGGGCCCAATTCTGTCTTCAAAACAACCCTAAGACGAACCTTTGGGGAGGAAGTAAAGTGGGAGCTCCAGCAGCAATGAGAAGCATCGGTTCTGGGTAGAAGGGGAAGTCTACAAGCCTTCCCATGATCTGGTGCCTGCCTACCACTTGCCCCTTGACATTCCAGCTCAATTGACAGCGCCACTATGAATAGGTGTCTAGTGCACCACGCTGCTTCTCATTCAGTGCCTTGGCTCCTGCTGTCATCCTTGGTTTCCTTCAATTCACTACTGAAGTCTCAGTTCACTTCCTTTAGAAAGCCTCCCATCCCCTCTCCTCACACCAGATCAATTAGAAACCACCTTCTCTGCTCCTGTTTTGGCCTCTACCTATCTAAGGTGGCTACAGGCCTTATTTCGTAAGGACAATGAATGGGCTTTGTATTTTGACAGATTTGGGCTCAAGTCCCAGCTTTGCCACTTATTAGGTCTATGACCTTGGACAGGTTACTTTTTCTTTCCTCATCTCTAAAATGAGACCGATAGCTTCTATGCCGTAGGGACAAGATACGAATTAATATACCACATATAGCTTTCATTAGTTATTATGATTGCCAACATGTAGTAGAACTGTTAAGATGACATACTTTTTACTAAATTTTGAGCTCCTTAAGGGCGTAAATTTTATGGACATCATCTGATTTATCCTTAGGTCCCCAACCCCTATGACACAGGAGGTCTCTGATAGCGATTTGTTGATTTGATATAGAAGTAATCATAATAACTGCTTTTATAACAGAGGGATGTGTGTGTGTGTTGTGTGCATATTGACATGTGTACGCATGCTACAGGAACTTGGAAGAAGAAAAGAATTTGGGGTGTTTCTGGTGAGGAGGGTGAGAAGATAAAGCCATCTTGAGACGATGGCATCTTTCGGGGAAATCTTCAAGTCTTTGAGTAATACTTTTATCAGGGCTGGATTGGACCAGCAAAGGGTTCTGTCCCACATCTCCCAAATCAAGCTTACTCAGAGGCATCCATGGGAAATACTGTGCATTAAGAGTCAGAATACACATAAGCATATTAAAGGCTCTGAAATGTGCTGCAGTGAAGAAATCTCTTTGGTTTTGCTTAAGTCAGCATTTTCCCCACACTTATTTGAACAGTGACACCCCCCACCCCCCGCCCCGGCAGAGAGCTTATTTTTTAATGAACGTCTATTAACTAGTCTAGTTTTCTGAGGAGTAGTTTGGGGAACCAATGTCCTATTCAAAGTGTGTTATTTTATACATGAAGGAATTGAGGCATAGAGTATTTCAGGTATCTATCCGCAGAAAAAAGCTGGTAAACAATTAGAGCTTCAAGGGCAGCCTCGTTTTCCTGCCACCCTGGCTAGGACACTTTTCAGCCCAGTGTGCCATGTCACAGTCAGCAGAAACATAGCAACTCTAAACCTTGCTTAATTTCAACAGAGAAAGTAGGCAATCGTCTCATTTTGCAATGTACAGGGTGGTTAAAATCTACCCCAAATCTGCATCCCACCTATCAAAATTTCCCCCCTTCATCATGCAGCCTGATACCATCACGAACTGGAAATGTATTTAAGGTTCACAAATGTTTTCTTTTAAAATTCAAATAACCCAGAAGCTTACTTTAAGAGAACCTTCCTTTATTGAATGCTTCAGGCCAATCTAATTCCTTGACCTCCACATCCCACCTGAGATACAGCTGCCCCCACAGTGCTGATGAAAGAGGAAGGCAGAGGCTGGGAGGTGGGCAGGGCAGTCCAGCTGATCCTCCAGGTACATATGAGGTCACCCTGTACCTCCTTGCCCTGTGGGGGCAGATGGTTATCTGTCTTGGTGTTGCCTCCAACTGCCAACCCAGCTCAGGATCCATTACATTTTATAAAGATCAGATAAACCTCTATGTTCATTCCAATAATCAAATAAGTATACAAGGGGTATACTTATTTGATTATTGGGCACTGGAAATAAAAGGGCTTAGAGAAAAAGCTGTTAAAATTCAATTGCAGCAACATGGATGAACCTAGAGGACATTATGCTAAGTGAAATAAGCCAGGCACAGAAAGACAAACATTGTATTCTATGATCTCACTATATGTAGGACCTAAAAAAGTTGAACTCACAGAGGAAGAGTAGAATGATGCTTGTCAGGAGATGATGGGGGAAGACAGATAGATGGGAGACGTTGGTCAAAGGGTATAAAATGTCAGTGAGATAAGAGGAATAAGTTCTGGGGATCTGTTGTACAGCATGGTGACTAGAGTTAATAACAGTGTATCATATACTTGAAACTTGCTAAGAGAATAGTTCTTAAATGCTCTCATCACTAAAAAATCTTAAGTATGTGAAGTGATTGATAAGTTAATTAGCCTGATTTAATCATTTCACAATGTACACATATTTCAAATGGGTGTGGCAGCCACACCCAACAGCCACAAGCAGGCTGACCAGGAACCACTACAGCAAGGACATGAAGTGCTGGGCTCCAGAGCAGAGAGACCCCAGGCCCCATTACCCACTTGCTAGGCTTACTGTGAAGGAGAATATGTAATGCATCGAAAGCAGTGTGGTACAGTCCAGGAGCACAGGCTCTGGAGTGGGCCAGCTCAGCCTAGCACGCTGACTGCTCCTGGGAAGGTTGCTTAACCTCTCTGTGCCTTAGTTTCCTCAATTGCAAAATAGGGAAATTAAAACCTCTAGTTTAAAGGGCTCTTAGGAGGTTTAAAGGAGATAGTACACTTTGAACAATGCTAGCACATGCTTGCTAGCTAACATAGTCCTTAAAATCAGCTCACAGTAGGTGAAGAAGGCACCTGGTTACTCATCTGGGTCAAGACACTGCCCAGGAACGTTTGCTTTCCATTCAGAAAGACCTTTGAAAGGTCTTCCAAGAGGCGCCATAGCATGCCAAGCTCTATTATAAGAAGTCAAAAGCCTGGGTCACCACCTGTCAGACTTTCTAGCTGATCCCAAGCTAAGATCAGCATCTTGTGGTGAGGATAAAAACACAGGCAGAAGTGAAGCAAATTAGTTAGGGAAGGTCTGGGGCAGACCTTCTCAAATTTGAAAAGTGTTTTCTCCTATAAAAGGAGAAAACGGTTTCACAGACAGAACCTCACCCATTCCGTTAACTAATGAATGTTAATTATGATACTACTTATGAATACAGACAGAAAACTGATATTAAGCTTTAAAGTCCATATATGGCTTTAAAACTAAATAAAAATTGCCAAATATAAATATTATATTCAAATAAAATACATTGGTTACATGGAAAATAACAGCAACAATTAACGTTTATTGAGCACTTACTATAGGACTGAATAGTATTAGATTGCCACTATCCCATCATTTTCGACCTACAAAAACAGCAACTTCATATGGCTCAACCTAGTAGGTGCAAGGTGCTTCCATAGGTGCTTTCTGTAATCCCCACAACACTCAGTGTAGTAGGGGTAATTATTATTACTCCATTTTACAGATACAGAAACTGGGACATCAAGAAATAAAAACACACTTTTTTTTTTTTTTTTTTTTTTGAGATGGAGTCTTGCTCTGTCACCCAGGCTGGAGTGCAGTGGTATGATCTCAGCTCACTGCAACTTCTGTCTCCCAAGTTCAAGCAATTCTCTTGCCTCAGCCTCCCAAATAGCTGGGATTACAGGCATGCGCCACCAGGCCGGGCTAATGTTTTGTATTTTTAATAGAGACAGGGTTGTTGGCCAGGCTGGTCTCAAACTCCTGACTTCAAGTGATCTGCCCGCCTTGGCCTCCCAAAGTGCTGGGATTAAAGAAAGTGGTGGGATTAAAGAAAAGTGCTGGGATTAAAGAAAGAGGGTATCAAAAAGGGCCAAGGTTTCCAAATTTGCTACACATTGGAATCCCCTGGGGATCCTGAAAAACTCCTCATGATGGCTCTCACCCATTACCATTTCACTGCTATGGGATGCGACCTTGACACTGGGATTTTAAGAATCCTCCAGGTGATTCTAACTTGCAACACAGTTTGGGAAACCTTATAATGCTTCTGCAAAGTTGCCAGCGGGAAGAAACAGCCCGAAATGTATTCTGTTATTCCACAGGCTGCAGCAAACAGCACTGAGAAGTTCTCCACACGGCTCAGTTAAGGGGCTCTTAGCAGTCCCGCATAATCACAGTACGATGTATTCCACCAGGTCTCCTCTCTCTATCCTGCCTGTGGGTCTTCCGAGTCTTTGGGGAAAGGAAGTAGGCAGGCCCTGACCTATGAAACTACCATGGCATCTTTCCTGGTTTCTACAATGCTCAGCCCTAAACCTGATGGGATTCTCTTCACTTCTTTGGCAGTAACTTCCCTAAAGTGTTTTTCACCCTCTTGATGGAAGTGGTTGTCTGGTGTTACCCTTGAAATACTCCAGGTGAAGTACACTCTACCTTTCCAGCCAAGCACACTCGATTTTTATGACAACAAAAGAGAAAATGTCTTGAGGCCTCTCCAGGGACGAACATACACTCACACCTATTACTCTAAAGGTAGCCAGCGGGACGGTCACATTTTGAGAAATGAAACACACACAGACACCAACATTTTCAGAGGCAGCATGGAGCAACCAGAAAAGAACAGCTTTTGCAGACTGCAAACTTGAACTTTGACTCCTGCTCTGCTACAAAGAGCAGGGTGAACTTGAGCAATAAAACTTCCCTGCAGTTCAATGTCCTCGTTTGCAGTGGCACACTGAGATGCCTTCAGCTCACTGGGACCCCCGCCCTGACATCTGGACTGTGAGTAACTATGCTTGTGAGAACTAAGCCTTGATTACATGACCCCTCTCTAAAGGTGGCATACTTTCTGGCCTCTCTTTCTAGTCACTTATTCTGATGTTATTCATAGCGGAAAAGCAGGCAGGCCTGGGATTCAGGCAAAAGGGAATAAATACAAGTAATGTAGTCAGGAATCAACAGGAAAGCTAATGATACATTCATTCTGATTTCACTCTGTAACGTAGAATAACATAGTTCCAATATCAAAACCATACAATTTCTGTAGTTACACTGTATCCTGCAAGGTCTTTTTCCTTATGAGCAGAAAGAAACACAGACACACACACACACACACACACCCTGAGCACATATTGTAGAGAATTATCCTACAAGAGGCAAAGGAATTTGATCAAAAGTCTTTGAAGGATCAGCATTTGATATGAGATAACTGGTTGTTCTAATTCCTGTTTTTATGCTTATAGGGATCTGAAGCTTTCTGCCAGCTTGTCTGTGCATGAGAGCACGCAGGTAGTGAGGATAAATGCTACAGTGATTCTCTATAACAAGGGTAGCAAAAGGAAGGGTCTAAGTCAGCTGTCCAATAAGACTTTCTGTAATGACGGAAATGTTCTATGTCAATGCTGTCCGATTTGGGAGCCACTAGCCACAACTGAAATGTGTGACTGAGGCACTGAATTTAATTGTATTTAATTGAAATTTAAGTTAAATAGTCACATGTGGCCAGTGGCTACAGTACTGGACAGTAGAGTTCTTAATTAATGATAAATGAATAAAATCCAATCACTTAAAGCTGTGACCTCAGAACCAATTAGGAGTAGGGTGAAGAAGAATGAGTATTACCCAGTGAAATACCAACACATCAACGTTAATTAAATAAGAAAATATAACACAGCTGCTTCTATGGGAGATATTCTGGGCCTGATCATTAGAGCCCAGTAAAAGGGGATCAAAAGGAAATGAAATAGACCAGGCATCATACCTGCAGAAGTACTACAAAGAAACACTCCACCCTCACCTTTCTTTTGTAGTTGATGGCTGAAAATGATATATTATTTGAAAAGAATCATTCCATGCTTTACATTTGACTCCGTCAATTACCCTCTGAGGTAGGTTATTATCTTAATCCCAGTTTTTACAGATGAGTAAGCTAAGGAAGATCAATTGTCACCTATAATTGTATTATAGAAAGTGGCAGACTCAAAATTTGAATTGAAGCAGCCTGGTTTCATATGCCAGGTTTTAAAAGTCTTCAGCCAGTTAGAAGATAAGGTGAACAAAAGAACTGCCTTTGAGAGAGGCTGGCTTGCTCAATGTATCCTGGACATGCTAAGAATGTGTCACTGTAGGGGAAAGTGGTCATTTAGGTTTTAAGAAGTATAAAGCAAGCATGTGAAAGCTGGGTGCTGAAGAAGGGTGAAGAGAAGGAAGCAAACATTGAAACCTGGGGCTCTGGGGTACTCGCACTTTGCCAACTGGCCAAATGCTCTAGGCCTTCTCTGAATCTGCTAGCTTCTCCTCAAGCTATTAAAGTCAATGGGAAAATTGTGGACAGGTATCTGAGAAATAGCGCAAGGTCTCGAGAGAATTAGAGGAAAGAAGTGTTTCCATATGTTAGAAGTTGGTTTCTCTTTAACCCAGTTTGCTTTAACTATAAAATCTTATCAATACAGATCAAAATGTAGGTTATTTTAAAGGGCCATGTCCCCCATTTCAACTTCTTATTATTACTCATTTCAGGGAGTTCCAAATTTTTATGTTCTAGATAATGCGTGAGCAACATCCTTGCTACTACATTATATGGTCTATGCCCCATTATTTTCTTAGAATAAACTCCTAGACATGAGGGAAAAAAAGGAAATGATCGAATCGCAGCTTGCACTGGTTGGACCAGTAAGAATGTGGGGGTTTCCCTTCCCCTACAATTGTGTCACAAAGGAATTTCCATATTGCCTGGAAATCTTTGTTCCCTTTGGCTTATAATCAACAGGAGAAAAAAGAGGATCTCTCTTGATGCCTTCCTGCTGTGAAGATTTGATGAGGCCATAGAGATCGAGCCCATGCAAAATCAGAAAACATCCGAATTGTCTGTAATTTAATACAATCAGTCCTGCTTACCACAAGACGAGTGAACAAAGCATTTCTCCTCCAATATTTATTACACTGCAAGTTCAACATCTCCCAGTAGTAACTCAATGCTCATGGCAAAAATGAATCACAAATTTCAGATTATTGATTTAGTTGGGAAAATTCATTCATTTAATAAATATTTACTGTGTCTAATATGTATTAGGTACTACTCTAGGTTCTGGTGTTACAAAGAAAACAAAACAGATGAAAACAATATTGATATTCTGGTTCATTATATTTCTAGTTTATCCCAGCTCAGTATTTTTTGGAAGAAAAAAATTAATTCAATATGAATTAATATTGGGATTCACTTAAAAATCCAGCTGATTAAATATAGCTCAACACAGGTCAAGTTTCTTTTAGTGGTATAGTCCTTGGGAACTCTTTACTCTAAAATGCAGCATCAAAAATTTAACACATGAAATCCTTTCTGGTTACTTTGCAGACCCCCAAACCCCAGAATTGTTCTAGACAGTTTTTCCCTCCCAACATGCAGTCTCCCCATTTTACTGATCCTACTTTCTAGATACTCTTCAAATCACTTCCCCTTTCTTCATCATGCCTATGGCCTAAATTTTAGTTCAGACGCTTAATTTTTGCTGGTCTGACTGTTTCTTTTCTTTCCAAACATTCTGTATTACAGTTTTCTAAAAGATCTAATAATATAGGTCCACAGTTAGAAACTGTCAATGGTTCCCCACTGCTCACAGGATAAAGTCTAAATGCTTTATCAGTATATACAAGGCAGTATAGAGCTTATGGCGAGCCCCAGTGGGAGAATCATAAAATAGGCCTTGGGATTCTGGAGCAAGTCCATGTCATCTGCAGTAGAAGAGTAAAGCCCTTTTAAGAAATTGCCCTTGGCATGTTACTGATTCCTGCTAACAATGGAGTGTTGCCCATGTGATAATGAGTGATCCTGAATCTGGAACTACCCATCATGAGCTGGGTTCTATTGGGCATGCCCAGTCATAAAGGCACTCACACCCAGCAGAGCCCCAGCCAGCATTGCTACCTGGGGGCTTGTGGACTGGCTGGTCCATAGGCACGAGATCCTGTACAGCATAACATCTTCCCATGCTGTCACAGAAAAGAGATGCAAGATTGGGCCCAAGACCATGGAATCCAGTGTTGTATCACATATCGCACCACTCATAAGCAGCAGGCCTCACAGAACACTAGAACTGCCTTCTAAATGTGCAGGTGAAGCACCAGCTAGGAGGCGATCTTCTGAAAGGATGTGGTGCTGTCCTTCAGGATGCAGCATACGCACTGCATCAGAGTCCTCCACGGGGTGCTGTCTCCAATAGGAAGATGGCATGGGCCCCAAAACCAAGAACAGGAGTAGCCCCGCTTATTAGCACTCCTGATAACTCACCAGGGGATTCTATGCTTCTCCTTCACAAAACTCTGGGCGTTGTAAGGGAGGTCCTGGGCTCCTTACCCTCTTGCCAAAGAACTTAGCAAGGGTCCCACTGAACTACAGTTATAGCTGCCACGAGGGCACCCTGGATTCTTTGTGTCCAGGGACCAAATGGCAGAGATAACTGACCCTAATTGGCAGGAAGAGGCAGGGCTGTTTTTACCCAGGTAAGGCAGAGAGGAATACATATGAAACCGAGGCAACCCATGTGGGTGCCTCCTGATACTCCCTTACCCCACTATAACTGAACAGACACATGCAGCAATCCCAGCCTCTGAAGGGCATGACTACAAAGGTTTCATTCCCCCAGGAAAGAGGATTTGGGTCACATCATTAAGTAAGCCAGCAAGACCCACCAAGGTGATAATTAGGGATATGGAGAACTCAGAGTGGGCAGCTCAGGAAGGAGAAGATGAGTACCCACTGCAGACCCCAAATTAACTGTGGTGAGGAAGGCATATAGTTTGTCATGCTAACCTTCCTCTTCTGAGTTCTCTCTCAGGAAAAGCAGCCCATGGAAGTCACGGAGGCACTGCTCTTCAAACTTGAGTAGAAAAAGAGGTCTGTAAGGCACAACTGTGGCAACTTTGACTCGGGATTGTTAGCTTTGTCAAACTTTCTTAGAATTACAGGTTAGGCTGGGCATGGTGACTCCTGCCTATAATCCTAGCACTTTGAGAGACCAAGGTGGGCAGATGGCTTGAGCCCAGGAGTTCAAGACCAGCCTGGGCAACATGAAGAGAAACCCCATCTCTACAAAAAATACAAAAAAAAATTACAAAAATTAGCCTGGCACAGTGGTGTGCGCCTGTAGTCCCAGCTTCTCAGGAGGCTGGGGTGGGAGGATCACTTGAGCCCAGGAGGTTGACGCTGCAGTGAGCCGTGATCATGCCACTGCACCCCAGCCTGGGGGACGATGTGAAACCCTGTCTCCAAGAAAAAAAGAATTACAGTTTAGTGTAAGGCCTACCCAGCCCTTCCTTCTTTCTTTCCTTCCTTCCTTCCTCCCTTCTCTCTCTCCTTCGTTAAGGGTGAGACCTGCATTGCAGTCTGATAGCTCTCCAAGCCTTCCCCAGCTCCAGCACCATTTCCCTTAGAGATATTTCTCCCGGTCAGTTGCTCTCAGCATCTGCTTCAGTCCTTTCTAATGTGCCTGTACCATCTCTAGGCTTAGCCCCCTTCTTTGCCCCTAGCAAGCCCCCTGCCTTCTGCCATGTGCTTCACAGACTCCACACTAAAGAGCCATCCTCCTTTTTCAGCCAGGCAGAGGGGGATCTATACTACTCCCTCTGCTCTCTCTCCAGGAACTGAGGTTTGGCAGCCAGTCTAAGGACGAGAGTTGATTCTGGCCCTGCTTTCCCTATTTGTTTTTGCATGGCCAGTTCAAAAGGATCTGCCTGACTGTGGAGCACAGATTCCTCCACATCCTACACCAAGTTGTAGGGTTCCATATATTTATACTACACAGCATGCATCCCACAGAATGTCTCTTTCCCATTGGACAGTGATAAAATCTAGAGTGTGTGTCCATCTATAAGGAACACCCACTACCAGCTCTGGCTGAATGTTGCCACAAGGGCTAGTGAGGTTAGCTCTGCTGAGTTTTTAAGAAACCTCAGAAGTCTGTACTTTTATTGTAAGATCACTGCATTTTTAATGTTGTAAACTGGTTCAAAATGAACAAAACGTAACAGGAGGACAAACGCACCCCATGACTGTTTTGGTTCCTGCCTGCCAGCTGGTGTCCACCATTCTAAATGCTCCAACAGCCTCAACATGACCTCCACAGAATGCCTCTTAAGAAGCTAAACTGTCACCATTTTAAGAAACTAAGTCATTATATTTTGGATTTTGTCCTTTCAGTTCATGGGGTATTTCATAACCCCAGGGTACTACAGAATATATTAACTTCACCAAAGAGGCAATTAATTTATTGTCTTATTCAAGAAGTATTTTCTGAGAATTCAATACGGGCCAAGCCCTGTGCTAGTTATGAAGGTTCAGATTTGTATAAGAGTTGATCCTTATCCTCCAGAAAATCATAATTTAATAGGAAAGACAGAAATGTTAAAAGTATAATTTTATATTATTTGAGGCGATTTTAATATATATATTCTCTACTAAAGGCCAATGTTTTGATTTTTCAAAGAATAGTACCATCTTTCAAACAAAAATATAACGCAAATTTAAAAATACTATTTTTTTAGAAACACCTTTAAACCATAAGCTATTTCCAAAGAAAGATTTTAATGGATGAGAAAGTTTGTCATTACAAAACTGTAGAATGTGAGAATTTAAGAAATATTAACAGTGAGTATTAAAAATACATTAGGGACCATTTAGTAAATGTTTTAACAAATGCTTTAATAAAATCACTTTAAAATTATATCTTATTCTAATACTCTGAAATTTCTTTTTCTGAATAGTGGCATAAAACACAAATTAATCTGAGGGAAGAAAAAAGGTACAAGTTCTTTAACTGAACATCTATCAAAGTTCTATTGCTTATCAAGTCCTATTTCTAATTACATAAATTTGTAAAAATATACAAACACAACACCAACTAGTTCTAGGGAAAAGTGGCCATAGATTCTGAGATTGCTAAAGAACCACCTACACATTTTAAAGATGCAAGTGGCCACCCTTTGGCCAGTATCCCTAACTTATGCACATTTTCAATAACCTGTAAAGGTTATAAGATATGTTCTTATTGATCACGCTGTATGGTGCAGAATGCGGATGGACCCCAGAATTAGAGTAGACTTGGTAATTGTTCTCTATACCTCTTCCCTTCTTCTTCCCCAAAACCCACAGTCACATAGCAAATCAATTGCCAGGTACTGTCCTTGTGCCACAAAGTAGATATGTGAACTTCACTTTTCTAATGACCCTGGCCAACACTTTAAAACACACAAATTGAAACTGCTCCATGTCAGTGAGTATTGGGAGAATTTTAACAACTAGATTAAAAGGCCAATCAATAGGTAAGTCCCCAGGGGAAGTGCTAATGCCAGGGAATAGATTAACTGTTAACTGATTTCAAGAATAAGTGGAAAGTGCAAATCTCACAGAAATGAGGTGGAAAGGAGAATAAAATAAGTGGGAGATGAACAACTAAAAGAATTTCGGGCCAGATAAACTGTAGTGTGGTAAGTCTGTAACATAGTAGAAAGATGAAATTCTTCTTTTTTCTAATCTCTCTCTCTCTCTATCTCGTCATTTCACTTTTCTTTACACATGAGAAAATTTGGGCTGGTTTATTTATCCATGTTTCTGTATCATGTTGCAGTAAATCAGAAGGTAGAAAATGTACCCAGTAACTCACAAACTCAACCTCCTCTTTCCCCCATCTTAGTCTCTCCTGGGCAAGGAACAGCTGCCTGGCCGGATGTTGGCGCCATAATTACTGAGTAACAGAGGGTGTCTGGAGGACCCAGTTCGGGACTCCCAAATATCCTCAGTTTCCCTTGGGTGAGGAAAAGGCCAACTGCAGATGGTACTTAAAGATGTGTTGATCCTTTATAAAGTCAAGAAGAAGGGAAAACACAAGCCCTGGGAGAGTTTTGGAGATGAGTGTAACATTCTCAAAAACAATAGAAATTCGGAAAAAAATATAAATATCAGAAACCTAGCAAAATACAGTTGCTATGATTGGTCTTAAAATTCAGCTCTGGGCTTCTAGGCTCAAAAGGTAGTATGGAGAGCATGATGAGTTAATGATTATGAAAGGAAAACACTGAACTAGCACATCATTCACAAATGGGAATTCTCCTAGAAAAAATTATTCTCTATATTCCATTTTCATTTCTGCCACAAAAGGCAGTTTGGATCCTAATATGATATTACTTTTTACATATACTTTTTTTGCTTAAAAAAAGTTGACACAGTACTTTGGCTTCCAACGATAATATTGCTCACAATGCAATATTGAAAACTGATTTCTAGTCAATTGGATATAGACAGCAGAGACACTGCTGGTGTGAGAAAGCTCCCTTAGATGCTATGTTTATGCTGCTCTTGGACCACAGCCTACACCTGACTGATTGGCAACAGAATCTGTAAAAGCAGGCTATTAAGAGTTGAGAAACAGACTCGAGAACTCTAGAGTAGAATCAGAAAATCTGTATTAAAAAAAATTAACAAAAATAGCTTCTCTGATGGATTCTAAGGATTTCCAGGTATGGGAACTTGAAGATTAGATCATGAAAAACATAGATAAGTGTCATCTCTAAACACCAGTCCACAAAAAAAAAAAAGAAATAAAATTAGCTAATAAATCTTTTTTAAATGCTCAACCTTATCAGAGTTAAAGAAATGTGAATCAAAACAATTAGATTCGATTTCTACACCCATAAAATTGGTAAAAAGGTTTTCATTTGATAATATCCTATGGGAAAAGAGAGTCTCATTTGAAAAGCAAATTAATTTATATTTTCTGGAAAGTTACTAGGCAGTACCTATTCATTTTTTAAATGTATATACTCTTTAATCCCAAAATTCCATTTCCAAGAATTTTCCTAGCTGATAAATTTCAAAAGTGTGTCAAGATAATATAGGCGAGAATGCACATAATCTAAATACCTGATAATAGGAGGTAGGTTTATAAAGTACAATCATACAAAAGAATATCGTACAGACTTTAATAAGAAGACCATATGCTATATTACGAGAAAAAAAGATGCAAACAAGAATGTACACTAGGTCCTTTTTGTGATTTTTAAAAAGCAAATGCATAAATACATATACATATATATGTGGGCTCTATGTCTAACCTTTATTTTCTAAACTGTGTTAATGATTATCTTTGGGGAAAGAGCCATCACTAAGGGAGTGAGGGAGGTTTTAAACTTTTCATTTTATATTTCTCTATACTGTTTGAATTGTCTTACCATGTGTAAGTATTCAAGGGCATACATGGTATTCTGCAAAATATGCTTAATTCCATGCTAGCTTCCCCTACTATCATTTCTTTGTCAAATACTTCCACTGTCAATCATATCATGTGAGTGAGTCAATTTGTTTCAAATTATATCGCACCCCACACTGCCAACCCACTAACTAGCAAAATGGATTTGAGAAGGCCTATAATAAAAGATTCATAGAAAGGCTGTTAAATAAAACAAGCAAATAAAATTCATGGAAAGGAAGAGGAAATAAAAAGCCCAGGCAAATGGAGTAAATGGAATGCCTATGATTAAGCAATAAGCACAGCTCCAAGTTTCCTGAAGGAAAAGGCAGAAATGGAAACATGACGAGTGATGTCACTCTTGTTGTCTGGAGAAAGACTTCATACCTGTTTATAAAAAAAAAAAATACACACACATTTTTACCAGATGATGAATTCTGAGATGTTATGCAAGACACTGAAAACATCTTGATTTTACGGCTTAGCCAGTGGTTCCTAAACTTGACGCTGCGTCAGAAGGCTTGTTAAAACAGACTGCTGGACCCCACTCCCATTTGAGTCATTAGGTCTGTGGAATGGAGCTTGAGACTACATTTCTAACAGTTTCCTAGATGATGCTGATGTTGCTGATCTGGCACCACACTTTGGACCTTAGACCAACCATTCCACTGTACTAATCCTAATGGTCGATGACTTCATCAGTAGTTCTGCTGAAGATCTGGAGATACTCTTCACATAAGCATTTCAGTAAAACAATGAAATGTAACATGGTGAAAGCATTTACAAACCTAATGAGGCCACATAACTTTCCTATGATCTAAATAGAAAACACAGATGGAACTTGAGTACACCCATACATTCAGATGTATTGTACTTGCCTGGGCCCTTCATAATGCAAATGTATTACACATCACCTGCCCCTGATAGGGCTTAGACAAGAGCTCATAATACAGATTTATTGAATACTGACTCGCATGAACAATAGCCTTGTTTTATCCACACAGAAGGCTGGTTTCCTGCCAGCATCCAAAATACATTATAATTCAATTCAAAATCAGGAATCAACGACTTTAGACAATCTGCACTCTTTTTTTTTTCTATTGACATGGGGAATAGAGGATTAACTGTACCAGAAATTAGCATAGGACTTTTCACTGGAGAAGCAAGAGTTACTTTTCAGGTAAACAACCTCATTTGTTTTCCAACATCCCTGAGGGGTAAACTGCACCTTAGTCACAGCACTAGAATCCTATGTCTGAGACCACCATTTCTAACTCCGACTTGGTTCACACTTGTCAAAAGTACTTGATGCCATAGGAAATGGCTCATGTATTTAACAACTGCACCTAGATACAAATCACAAACACATACAAATATTCACGTATACTGGCACAAACCACCAGCATGTTTTACAAGATTAAAAACAACTAAAAATGTATCCAACAGATGCACTTACAAACGTATGCATTATACTCAAAAAAGAGAAAAATAAAAAAGGAATTTTTATAAAAATTAGAAGTACTCTGAGACCCCTAAATTTCAGTAAATTTTACTAGTTTTTGACAGTTCAAGTCAACAAACTTCAACTGAGCACCTACTATATGCCAAGTGTTGAGTTAAGAGCTGGGAACTGGGGATTAAGATGGCAGATAGAAGGCAGGACTAGCTTGCAGCTCCTGCTCAGAGGGACAGAGCAGTGTGTGGAGATGCACATCATGACCTTTTGCTCCAAGAACTACCACAGGAACACACCAGGAAAGCTGAGAGAATCCACAGGCCCTTAGAAGGAACTGAATCACTGCTGCAGGCCCCCTAAGATGCTGAAAAACTGTGATTCTGCTGCTTCTTTTCTCGATGGCTCATGGTCTGGGGCAAGTTCTCAGCCCTGGTAGTGAGCCCTCCTACTCACGGTAGGAGTGAGACCAGCCTTTAGGACTGCCAGCTGTGTGGAAGCAGGACGAAGCCAGTGACTGCCAGCTTTCTCCCACTTCCCTGGCAACCTATGTGACTCAAAAGAGGCAGCCATAATCCCCCTGGGAATATAACTCCACTGGACTGGGAACCATACTCCCAACCCCCACAACAGCTGCAACAAGCCCCACCCAAAGAGATGCTGAGCTCAGACATGCCTATCCCTGCCCCAACCTGGTGGTCTTTCCCTACCTGCCCTGGTAACCAAAGACAAAGGCCATAATCTCTTGGGAGTTCTATGGCCCTGCTCACCACCTGAGAAACCTGAATGCTTAACCAGGTGTCCCTAGGGCAAGTGTGCATCCTCCCTATAGGACTGCAGCTGATGCGCTCTTGAAAGCTCCACCTCCTGACTGGAGGCTAACCAACACAAAATCAGTGCTCTAAACAAAAACACAACCAAGGACCCTCAGAGTCCACATCACTCCCCTGCTACCTCCACCAGAGCAGGTGCTGGTATCCACGGCTGCAAGACCTGAAGATGAGATACATCACAGGACTCTGCAGACACTACACAGTACCAGCCCGGAGCCTGGTAGCTCTGCTAGGTGGCTAGACCAAGAAGAGAAAAAACATTTACTACAGTTTAGCTCTCAGGAAGGCCCATTCCTAGGGGAAAGGAGAGAGCACCACATCAAGGGAGCACCCCATGGGCCAAAAGAATCTGAACAGCAGCCCTTGAATCACACATCTTCCTTATGACATCATCTACTCAAATGAGAAAGAACCAGAAAAACAATTCTGGTAATATGACAAAACAAGGTTAACACCCCCAAAAGATCATACCAGCTCACCAGCAATTAATCCAAAACAAGACAAAATCTCTGAATTACCAGAAAAAGAATTCAGAAAGTCGACTATTAAGCTAATCAAGGAGGCAACAGAGAAAGGCAAAGTCCCACTTAAATTCATCAAAAACATGGTACGGGATATAAAAGGAAAATTCTTCAGTGAAATTGAAGAGCATAAATAAAAAACAATCACACCTTCTGTAAATCAAGGACACACTTAGAGAAAAGCAAAATGCACTGGGAAGTCTTCACAACAGTATCAAACGAGCAGAAGAAAGAACTTCAGAGCTTGAAGACAAGGCTTTCAAATTAACCCAATCTGTCAAAGACAAAGAAAAAATTTTAAAAAATGAAAAAATCCTCCAAGAAGTTTGGGACTCTGTTAAATGTCCAACTCTAAGAGTAATAGGCGTTCCCAAGGAAGAAGAGAAGTCTAAAAGTTTGGAAAATATATTTGACGAAATAATCAAGGAAAACCTCCCCAGCCTTGCTAGAGATCTAGATATTCAAATAGAAGAAACTCAAAGAACACCTGGGAAATTCAATGCAAAAAGATCATTGCCTAAGCACATAGTCCTCAGCTTACCTAAAGTCAAGACGAAGGAACGAATCTTAAGAGCTGTGAGGCAAAAGTATCAGGTAACCTATAAAGAAAAACATATTGAAAATGTCCCTGTCTGACAGCTTTGAGGAGAACAGTGGTTCTCCCAGCACGCAGCTGGAGATCTGAGAACGGGCAGACTGCCTCCTCAAGTGGGTCCCTGACCCCTGACCCCCGAGCAGCCTAACTGGGAGGCACCCCCAAGTAGGGGCAGACTGACAACTCACACGGCCGGGTACTCCTCTGAGACAAAACTTCTAGAGGAACGATCAGACAGCAGCATTCGCAGATCACGAAAATCCGCGGTTTTGCAAACACCGCTGCTGATACCCAGGCAAACAGGGTCTGGAGTGGACCTCTAGCAAACTCCAACAGACCTGCAGCTGAAGGTCCTGTCTGTTAGAAGGAAAACTAACAAACAGAAAGGACATCCACACCAAAAACCCATCTGTACGTCACCATCATCAAAGACCAAAAGTAGATAAAACCACAAAGATGGGGAAAAAACAGAGCAGAAAAACTGGAAACTCTAAAAACCAGAGTGCCTCTCCTCCTCCAAAGGAATGCAGTTCCTCACCAGCAATGCAACAAAGCTGGAAGGAGGATGACTTTCACAAGTTGAGAGAAGAAGGCTTCAGATGATCAAACTACTCCGAGCTACAGGAGGAAATTCAAACCAAAGGCAAAGAAGTTGAAAAGTTTGAAAAAAATTTAGACGAATGTATAACTAGAATAACCAATACAGAGAAGTGCTTAAAGGAGCTGATGGAGCCGAAAGCCAAGGCTCCAGAACTACGCAAAGAATGCAGAAGCTTCAGGAGCCGACGCGATCAACTGGAAGAAAGGGTATCAGTGATGGAAGATCAAATGAATGAAATGAAGCGAGAAGGGAAGTTTAGAGAAAAAAGAATAAAAAGAAACGAACAAAGCCTCCAAGAAATATGCGACTATGTGAAAAGACCAAATCTACGTCTGATTGGTATACCTGAAAGTGATGGGGAGGATGGAACCAAGTTGGAAAACACTCTGCAGGATATTATCCAGGAGAACTTCCCCAATCTGGCAAGGCAGGCCAAAATTCAGATTCAGGAAATACAGAGAACGCCACAAAGATACTCCTCCAGAAGAGCAACTCCAAGACACATAATTGTCAGATTCACCAAAGCTGAAATGAAGGAAAAACTGTTAAGGGCAGCCAGAGAGAACGGTCGGGTTAACCACAAAGGGAAGCCCATCAGACTAACAGTGGATCTCTCGGCAGAAACTCTACAAGCCAGAAGAGAGTGGGGGCCAATATTCAACATTCTTAAAGAAAAGAATTTTCAACCCAGAATTTCATATCCAGCCAAACTAAGCTTCATAAGTGAAGGAGAAATAAAATACTTTACAGACAAGCAAATGCTGAGAGATTTTGTCACCACCAGGCCTGCCCTAAAAGAGCTCCTGAAGGAAGCACTAAACATGGAAAGGAACAACTGATACCAGCCACTGCAAAATCATGCCAAATTGTAAAGACCATTGAGGCTAGGAAGAAACTGCATCAACTAACGAGCAAAATAACCAGCTAACATCATAATGACAGGATCAAATTCACACATAACAATATTAACTTTAAATGTAAATGGACTAAATGCTCCAATTAAAAGACACAGACTGGCAAATTGGATAAAGAGTCAAGACAAATCAGTGTGCTGTATTCAGGAAACCCATCTCACGTGCAGAGACACACATAGGCTCAAAATAAAAGGATGGAGGAAGATCTATCAAGCAAATGGAAAACAAATAAGGCAGGGGTTGCAATCCTAGTCTCTGATAAAACAGACTTTAAACCAACAAAGATCAAAAGAGACAAAGGAGGCCATTACATAATGGTAAAGGGATCAATTCAACAAGAAGAGCTAACTATCCTAAATATATATGCACCCAATACAGGAGCACCCAGATTCATAAAGCAAGTCCTGAGTGACCTACAAAGAGACTTAGACTCCCACACAATAATAATGGGAGACTTTAACACCCCACTGTCAACATTAGACAGATCAACGAGACAGAAAGTTAACAAGATACCCAGGAATTGAACTCAGCTCTGCACCAAGTGGACCTAATAGACATCTACAGAACTCTCCACCCCAAATCAACAGAATATACATTTTTTTCAGCACCACACCACACCTATTCCAAAATTGACCACATACTTGGAAGTAAAGCTCTCCTCAGCAAATGTAAAAGAACAGAGATTATAACAAACTGTCTCTCAGACCACAGTGCAATCAAACTAGAACTCAGGATTAAGAAACTCACTCAAAACCGCTCAACTACATGGAAACTGAACAACCTGCTCCTGAATGACTACTGGGTACATAACGAAATGAAGGCAGAAATAAAGATGTTCTTTGAAACCAATGAGAACAAAGACACAACATACCAGAATCTCTGGGACACATTCAAAGCAGTGTGTAGAGGGAAATTTATAGCACTAAATGCCCACAAGAGAAAGCAGGAAAGATCCAAAACTGACACCCTAACATCACAATTAAAAGAACTAGAAAAGCAAGAGCAAACACATTCAAAAGCTAGCAGAAGGCAAGAAATAACTAAAATCAGAGCAGAACTGAAGGAAATAGAGACACAAAAAACCCTTCAAACAATTAATGAATCCAGGAGCTGGTTTTGTGAAAGGATCAACAAAATTGATAGACCACTAGCAAGACTAATAAAGAAGAAAACAGAGAAGAATCAAATAGACCAATAAAAAATGATAAAGCGGATATCACCACCAATCCCACAGAAATACAAACTACCATCACAGGATACTACAAACACCTCTATGCAAATAAACTAGAAAATCTAGAAGAAATGGATAAATTCCTTGACACATACACCCTCCCAAGACTAAACCAGGAAGAAGTTGAATCCCTGAATAGACCAATAACAGGCTCTGAAATTGTGGCAATAATCAATAGCTTACCAACCAAAAAGGGTCCAGGACCAGATGGATTCACAGCCAAATTCTACCAGAGGTACAAGGAGGAACTGGTACCATTGCTTCTGAAACTATTCCAATCAATAGAAAAAGAGGGAATCCTCCCTAACTCATTTTATGAGGCCAGCATCATCCTGATACCAAAGCCTGGCAGAGACACAACCAAAAAAGAGAATTTTAGACCAATAGCCTTGATGAACATTGATGCAAAAATCCTCAATAAAATACTGGCAAACCAAATCCAACAGCACATCAAAAAGCTTATCCACCATGATCAAGTGGGCTTCATCTCTGGGATGCAAGGCTGGTTCAATATACGCAAATTAATAAATGTAATCCAGCATATAAACAGAACCAAAGACAAAAACCACATGATTATCTCAATAGATGCAGAAAAGGCCTTTGACAAAATTCAACAACGCTTCATGCTAAAAACTCTCAATCAATTAGGTATTGATGGGATGTATCTCAAAATAATAAGACCTATCTATGACAAACCCACAGCCAATATCATACTGAATGGGCAAAAACTGGAAGCATTCCCTTTGAAAACTGGCACAAGACAGGGATGCCCTCTCTCACCACTCCTATTCAACATAGTGTGGGAAGTTCTGGCCAGGGAAATTAGGCAGGAGAAGGAAATAAAGGGTATTCAAATACGAAAAGAGGAAGTCAAATTGTCCCTGTTTGCAGACGACATGATTGTATATCTAGAAAACCCCACTGTCTCAGCCCAAAATCTCCTTAAGCTGATAAGCAACTTCAGCAAAGTCTCAGGATACAAAATCAATGTGCAAAAATCACAAGCATTCTTATACACCAATAACAGACAAACAGAGAGCCAAATCATGAGTGAACTCCCATTCACAACTGCTTCAAAGAGAATACAATACCTAGGAATCCAACTTACAAGGGATGTGAAGGACCTCTTCAAGTAAAACTACAAACCACCGCTCAATGAAGTAAAAGAGGATACAAACAAATGGAAGAACATTCCATGCTCATGGGTAGGAAGAATCAATATCGTGAAAATGGCCATACTGCCCAAGGTAATTTATAGATTCAATGCCATCCCCATCAAGCTAACAATGATTTTCTTCACAGAATTGGAAAAAACTACTTTAAAGTTCATATGGAACCAAAAAAGAGCCCGCATCGCCAAGTCAATCCTAAGCCAAAAGAACAAAGCTGGAGGCATCACGCCACCTGACTTCAAACCATACTACAAGCCTACAGTAACCAAAACAGCATGGTACTGGTACCAAAACAGAGATATAGATCAATGGAACAGAACAGAGCCTTCAGAAATAATGGCGCATATCTACAACTATGTGATCTTTGACAAACCTGGGAAAAATAAGCAATAGGGAAAGGATTCCCTATTTAATAAATGGTGCTGGGAAAACTGGTTAGCCATGTGTAGAAAGCTGAAACTGGATCCCTTCCTTACACTTTATACAAAAATTAATTCAAGATGGATTAGAGACTTAAACGTTAGACCTAAAACCATAAAAACCCTAGAAGAAAACCTAGGCATTACCATTCAGGACATAGGCAGGGGCAAGGACTTCATGTCTAAAACACCAAAAGCAATGGCAACAAAAGCCAAAATTGACAAATGGGATCTAATTAAACTAAAGAGCTTCTGCACAGCAAGAGAAACTACCATCAGAGTGAACAGGCAACCTACAAAATGGGAGAAAATTTTCACAACCTACTCATCTGACAAAGGGCTAATATCCAGAATCTACAATGAACTCAAACAAATTTACAAGAAAAAAAACAAACAACCCCATCAAAAAGTGGGCGAAGGACATGAACAGACACTTCTCAAAAGAAGACATTTATGCAGCCAAAAAACACATGAAAAAATGCTCACCATCACTGGCCATCAGAGAAATGCAAATCAAAACCACAATGAGATACCATCTCACACCAGTTAGAATGGCAATCATTAAAAAGTCAGGAAACAACAGGTGCTGGAAAGGATGTGGAGAAATAGGAACACTTTTACACTGTTGGTGGGACTGTAAACTAGTTCAACCATTGTGGAAGTCAGTGTGGCGATTCCTCAGGGATCTAGAACTAGAAATACCATTTGACCCAGCCATCCCATTACTGGGTATATACCCAAAGGACTACAAATCATGCTGCTATAAAGACACATGCACACATATGTTTACTGCGGCACTATTCACAATAGCAAAGACTTGGAACCAACCCAAATGTCCAACAATGATAGACTGGATTAAGAAAATGTGGCACATATACACCGTGGAATACTATGCAGCCATAAAAAAGGATGAGTTCATGTCCTTTGTAGGGACATGGATGAAATTGGAAATCATCATTCTCAGTAAACTATCATAAGGACAAAAAACCAAACACTGCATGTTCTCACTCATAGGTGGGAATTGAACAATGAGAACACATGGACACAGGAAGGGGAACATCACACTTTGGGGACTGTTGTGCGGTTGGGGGAGGGGGGAGGGATAGCATTAGGAGATATACCTAATGCTAAATGACGAGTTAATGGGTGCAGCACACCAGCATGGCACATGTATACATATGTAACAAACCTGCACGTTGTGCACATGTACCCTAAAACTTAAAGTATAATTATAATAAAATAAAAAAATAAAAAAAAAGTGGGCTAAGGACATGAATAGACAATTCTCAAAAGAAGATACACAAACAGCCAACAAGTATATGGAAAAATGCTCAGCATCACTAGTCATCAGGGAAATGCAAATCAAAACCACAATATAATACCAACTCACTCCTGCAAGAATGGCCATAATCAAAAATAACAGATGTTGGCATGGATGCCAAGGAGAAAAGGGAAAACGTCTACACTGTTAGTGGGAATGTAAACTAGTGCAGCCACTATGGAAAACAGTGTGGAGATTCCTAAGTGAACTAAAAATAGATCTACCATTTGATCCAGCAATCCCACTGCTAGGTATCTACCCAGAGGAAAATAAGTCATTATATGAAAAAGATATTTGCACATGCATGTTTACAGGAGCACAATTTGTAATTGTAAAAATATGGAACCAGCCCAAATGCCCATCAGTTAACATGTGGATAAAGGAAATGTAATACACACACACACACACACACACACACGCAAACACACACCATGGAATACTATTCAGCCATAAAAAGGAATGAAATAATGGCATTTGCAGCAACCTGGATGGAATTGGAGACTATTATTCTTTTTTTTTTTTAAGTTCTGGGATACACGTGCAGAACGTGCAGGTTTGTTACATAGGTATACATGTGCCATGGTGGTTTGCTGCACCTGTCAACCCGTCATCTAGGTTTTAAGCCTCTCATGAATTAGGTATCCAGAGACTATTATTCTAAGTGAAGTAACTCAGAAGTGGAAAACCAAACATCACATGTTCTCACTCATATGTTGGAGCTAAGTTATGAGGATGCAAAGGCGTAAGAATGATACATTGAACTTTGGGGATTCGGGGGAAGGGGTGGGGGGTGGCAAGGGATAAAAGACTATGCAGTGGGTACAGTGTACACTACTCGGGTGTTGGGTGCACCAAAATCTCAGAAATCACCACTGAAGAACTTATTCATGTAACCAAACACCACCTGTTCCCCAAAAACCTATTGAGATTTAAAAATTTTAAATTAAAATAATACTAAAAATAAAAGATCTGGGAATAAACATTGGACACAAATCCTACTCTCAAGGCACTTACAAGCATAATGAGGTAATATTCCTAAAGTAGAGATTTCCACCAGATATAGAAAATGTGTATGTGGAAAAAGACAGGGAATATGAGATGTGTGGATACAGAGTACCATCAATGCTCGAAGAATGGACACTTAACCCCACCTGGGGCTCACAGAGGGCTTCCTGGAAGAGATGGCACAGACAGAGCCTTCCAGATGAGCAGAAATCAGCTGGAACAAAGATAGAGGGGAATGGTGAAGGCTCCTGTGCCTGGCACTTCTGCTTACATATCCCAAATCCAATCACTCCTTCTTCATTATGAATAGAAAAATTTTGTTCAGGGTGGCAACCGGCCTGACCCAAAATACACTTCCCAGAATTCCATACAGGTGGTCATGTGGTGCATTCCTGACCAATGAGATGTAAGTGGAAACCACTGGATGGAACCATACTGATGGTCATGTGGTACATTCCTGATCAATGAGACGTAAGTGGAAGCCACTAGATGGATCCATACTGATGGACATATGGTGCATTCCTGATCAATGAGATGTAAGTGGAAGCCACTAGCAGGCCTTCCAAGAAAGCTTTGCACTGGACTTTTGCTTTTCCTTCTTTGTCCTTCAGCCTTCTAGCTGCCTGAAATACAGATAAGAAGCCCAAAGGCATGGTTGTCATTTGGGGGAGCACGAGGTATGGAAAGATGAAATGAGAATGGTATCCCCCAAAGCTTTCATACCTGCTTTCAGCTACCCACTACCAGTCTTCATATTACCGAGAAAAGTAAATCCCAATTTAGTTAAGCCCCCGGAGTGAGGATCCATCTAGATTTACACAAACAAAAACCCATCTCATACACACAGTGCATTTAAGCATTACTATTTGTTTGCATATGCTGGAGAAGGCCCCAAGTTTTAGATAACTGAAAGCAAACTTTCTGAATCTTTCACTCTTATCAAAACATAAATTAAGGATGCCCTGACACTTTTGTAAAATGCTGTTATAATTAAGTAGCAAACGTTATTAAAATTGTTACCAGGAAGTTTATATACGACATTTAGTCAAGAACTAACACAATTACAATGGCTAGCAACATTTGCAGTTTCCTCCAAAAAAGTTCACATGACTATATAATCCCAGGGTTTAAACAGCATTCGTTTAAACAATACTTGTTCGTCTCTCATGCTCCGGAAAGACACTGAACTGTAAACACACCAATGCGGCATTCACTCACACACACACCCTGCCCCCATCCTTTTATCGTTTTCTCACATACAGTCACCAGTCTCAAGAACTGATGTTGCTTTCCGTTTGCTAGGTAAACAGCCATGTGCGACCTATCGATCAGCAGGAAACAATTCAAGGGTTCTCAAATCCATGTCTTCATTACCCCCTATAAGAATGGTAAGAGCTGGGTAACCCAGGAGGGTAGAATAAGTGGCAAGAAGTGCTCAGACAGTGGACACACTACTGCAGCTGCTGCCAACGCAGCGCACGCATCACTCACTAGCTGTTCTCACAGGTGGAAAAGCACCAGGCCATTGTGCTGAGACTTCCCACTGCCAGGACACTCTCTCCAGCTGCAGTGTGCTGGGAAGGACCCAGCTGCTCCCCTCCGACAGTCACACAGGCTTTTCCACCCTGCATCTGTGGGTTGTCAGCTGGAGGGTTTTGTGGACCAGCAAAAGTGTGGTCCAACAAAGCTTTGCCAATGCTGTGTTTTTCTTAAAATGAGCATCCAAATAAAGCAACAACAAAGGACAAAAGCCTTATTAGACATAATGTTCCCAACCACCATCCTTTGTTGGGAAGATTTATCCTTTTATTATGAAGGATTCTGTTCTTCCCATTTTGGGTGTGTTAGACTGTCCTCCAAGTCTCTTTATGTCCCTCTAATGATTTTATTTATTTCATTATGTACTTATTTTTATTTATCCATATACTTATAATTTATATATTTTATTTTATAATTTATTATTTATATTTTATTTGGTTTTTTTCCACTTTTATTTTTATATTTTTATATGTTTTTGCTCTTCCACTTGATCTTCTGGGCCAATAGTTTACTCCAATGGTCCCTATATCCCATAGGTTTCTTGACCTTTTTGAGGGCATGATCCCTTTGGCAGTCTAATGAAAGCTAGAGACCCTACCCCAAATATAATATGTTTAAATGTATAAAGTGAAATCCATAGGATTACTAAGGAAACCAATCCTATTTAAGTATCAAAATACTAAAATACACAAACTCAATAACATGTGCTTTTATTATGACATTAAATACCAAGCTCTAGTGGTGGTACTATGAACAATTATAACTTTAAGCTCTGATGAACATAAATGACATTCAAGATGTCTGCAACAACTGTAATATTATATGAAAATATTTTTGATTTCTATTGCTGACAAAGTTACAGGTACTAATAACACTGTTGCAGTTTCATTAGAAGAAAATAAAAAAAAGATGTATTTTTTTTAATTCCAAATTAAATGTTGTATTCTACTATAATTCATAAACAGGAAATTTCCACCCTGGCCTAACACCACTGCTTGATTTTTTTTTTAACACCTTCCTCTTCATTCTCCATTCAACTACATAACTGCATATATACATGATATATCATTTTGGCATAGTGGCAAATGTCAATGAATAAAGGAAGTCATCTTCTCACCTTGGTCCCCAGCCATCCCTTTGCCTCCTCTCTGGAGGTAATCTCTTAGCAATTTCTTGGGTATCTTTTCCATATATTGAATGTCTCATTTTTAAACTACTCGTTTAAATTCTAGAAAACTTCATTTTTTGCAATGGAATTATTTTATACCTTTTTGTTAGGATTAAACCTTCTCCTCTATCCATTCTGTTTGACTTGCACCACTTACCTTCTGCTTATTATTTTCTGGTGGCTGAGTCCCCTTATGTTGGTTTCCAGGCTTCTCATTGTTCTATTCACCCTCAGAGTTCAATTCAGGTCGAGCTGTTTGGGAACTGTGAACAGCAACAACCCCATGAGAGGGCTAGGGCTGGAGCAGGTCTAGCTGCCTGTCCTTTGTGGAGGTCTCCAGGAAAGCTTCTCTGCTACCCCCATCCCTTCCCCACTCTAGCCTCCTCAGTAACAGGAAAGTAAGGAAAGCAGCATCCCTCTGAAAATCTGCTGGGAACACTTTCAGGACAGCCAGGAGACAAAAACAACAAAACGAGTGTGCACATACACATACACACACACACACACACACACACACACACACACAAAGCCATCTTTGCTATTCCCATCATATCATAAAGGATAATCTTCTACAATAGGAAAAACAGAACTTTACAACAAAAGAACAAATCTTCCCATGAAAAGGCAATTGTCATATCACAGCCAAGCAAATAATAGAGAAAAAGGAGTATATGGAAGAGAGACAGTAACTGAAGAAATAAAAGAGAAAAAAATCCCTGCTTTTTTAAAAGACTTCAGTTGGCATAAGAAGTCTCATCCAACTGAACTGAAAGAGCTCGTCCAGTACCAGGTTAAGAATATATTATAAAAGACTTCTATCAATCCAAACTATGGTACTTGCTAGAATAGAAAAAAAGAAAAGCTATTGTGTTTACATGTTTATCTTGTAATGTCTCATCTTACCGTGTTCCCTCTTTAATTCTAGTTAGTTGTTTTTTTTCTTAATGGAGTTTCCTGGGCTTGCTAAAAATAATCATCAGCACAGAGAGGATATTTTATTTTTTTCAACATCTACTTCTTCCTTTTCTTGTCTTATATTTTCTAGAACCTCCAAAGGTCTGTTAATAAGTGGTGATAACTATCTTATTTCTGCTTTTACTGAAAAATCCTGAAAGCTTCTAGATAAAAATAACAGCTTGCCTACAAAGGAAAAGTCATTAGACTGGCATCACACTTCATCTGCACATTACTTACAGAAAAGAACCACAGTCCTAGACTTCTATACTCATACAAGACATCATTCAGCTCTCAGAGTAAAAGCAAATTCTGAAGGTAATTTAACAACTGCAATAATATCACTGAGTTAATAATTCTACAGCACTCATTCAGTGCCAGATTCTAGTCTAAGCACTTCACTTATTGTGGTAGTTTGTCTATAAATGTGGCTATCATTAATTCCTTCCCTCCCTCTCTACTTGTGCCACTCCTCCAACTCAAGGTAGAGTGTATTCTTCCACCTCATAGAATGTGGTTGAAGCACTGCTACACCAGTTCTGGGCCAAGACATTATGAAGACCAGCAGTTTTCTGCCTCTGGGAACCTTGAGTTAGCAGGTAAGAAATCCAGGCTACTCTGATGGAGACAGAGGCCTCATGGAGGAACACTGAAACAATAAATAAAAAAGCCATCTGGGACTCCCAGCCCAGCTGAACCTTCAGATGACTCCAGCCACTGCTGCTATCTGACTCCAACCATGACAGCCCCCAAGCAAGAACTGCCCAGCTAAACCCAGCCAACTCATAGACCTATGAGAGATAATAATACATAGTTGTCACACTGCTGTTTTAAGGTAGTTCATTATATACTGCTGGCCCTCCATATCCACAGGTTCGACACCGATGAAGTGAACCAACCACAGATAGAATATATTTTTTAAAACATAAAAAATACAGTATAACAACTGTTTGCATAGCATTTACATTGTATTAGGTATTATAATATAGAAATGATTTAAAGTATATAGGAGAGCTGCAAAGGTTATATGCAAATAATAAGCCATTTTATATAAGGGACTTGAGCACTTGTGGATTTTGGTATGGGAGGGCAGAGGGTGTCCTGGAACCAGTGTCCCACAGCTACTGAAGGACAATGTAGCAACAGATAACCAGAATGCATATATTAACTCATTTCATCTTCATAAAGTTCCTGTAAGGTCTCTGTTCTTAGAATTCCCATTTTACAGTTAAGGAGACTGAGACCCAGATAAGTTAAATAACATTCTCAAGATTATACAGTTAGAAAGAAAATCTTTGGAATAATGCAGTTTCAATAGTAAATCAACCCCATGCTTCATCTGAGGAAAACACCAAGAAAGACTCTAATGCAACAAAAATAAATCAGAGCAGAGATCTCCAGGGACAGGGGAGGGGAAAGGAGAAAAGAGTGGTGAGAAGGGTATCTTGCAAATACACTATGAAATCTAAATGGATAATGATACCATGACTGAGAACATGTAAATAAATATTAAAGATTTCTGAAATAAGAGGCAAACTTCAAGGGTATAGTAATACTCAGGAACAAAAGAAAACATAGGCATTAGGAAGAAGCAGGGCTGCAGGCAGAAGGGGAAGAGAGAAGAGCATTCTGAAGTTCTTGGTGTGACTTTCCACAAAATATAAAGGAACAAAACTGACTCAAGTAGAAAATTGAATAGACCAGTTACCACAGGAGAGATAGGAGAAGTGATTTTCTAAGAGGAAAAAAAAAGCAGAGGGCAAAAACAGTTGATTTCACAGAGAGTTCTATATAACTTAAAGGAAAGAAATGTTATTTAAATTATTCAAAACAATAGAAACATAGGGAAAATCACCTAAGTCCATATCATTAAACTGGTTTGGCCTTAAAACCAAAACTGGTAAAGGCAGTACAATAAAAGAAAACTACAGAGCAATCTCATTTGTAAATATTCGTTAAAATTCTAAATAAAACATTATGAAGTAAAACCCAAAACTATATCAAATGAATATTGTCAATGATCAAACAAGGACAACTCCAGAAAGGCAGTTTTCACATCAGCAAATCCATTACCATCATTCATGAGAGCAACAAATGCACGGAGTAAAAGTGGTTGGTTACATCAATAGGTTCTAAAAAAGCATTTGGTGAAATTCAACAGCCATTTCTAATAAAACTTCAAGTAAAATAGGAATAAAAGAAACCTCTTGAATATGGATTCATCAAAAATCAATTGCAAACATCATTCCAAACAATCAAATGCCAGGAATAAGATGGGATACCTGCTGTTATCATTATAATTCAAATTGAGGGGAAAAAATAGTTACTATAAACAGAGTAAATGAGAAGACAAAATTTTCCCTTCTTGCTAATAATATATTCATACTCCTAGGAACACCAACTCTAAAAATAAAAAGTACTCGAATCAATGAAGGAATTTAATCAGGTGGCTGGAAAAGTTTAGGGCTTTTTAAAATATCTGTAATGCAAATTGAAAAAACTTACAATAGCATTATACTGTCATTAAAAAGGAAAAGAAAAAATAAAGCATATAAATTCAAAATTCATATATACATTTAATTAGAATCCCAAAATTTTTAATGTGGATATAATACATTTTTAGGTAATATCAAATATCCAAAAATTGGCAGAAAACTTTTGAAAAAGAATTATGAGGGGAGCATCATACCAGACTTAAATCCACTAAAATGAAAACATGGCATAGGAACAAACAACAGAACTGACTGATGAACTCAGAAATCAATTCCAGTATCAACAGAAGCTTCTACGTGACAAGGTGAGTCTTGTGATCCATGGTGGAGAGAACAGCTTATTGATAAATGGCACATGCACAACTGACTACTCAAATGGAAAAAAAAAAAATGGTTGGTCTCCCACCTCATATCCTATTCCAAGGCCATTACAGAGTGAGTCAGCCCTAAACCATCAGGAAGGGCAGTCCATGAGGTATTGTTGAGTGAGAAAAGTAACATACAGAGAATATATGTTTCAATAATCTCATTTTTTGGAATATCTTGTCCACCATTTTGAATTGTGAATAATGGATCCTGGGCACATGACAAATACCGCTTTGGAGGGTGACTTTTTGTAGAAAACAAAACATAAATATATACATAAACATGGATAGAAATGTGGACATCTACAAACTAGGCTGTTCAACACTGGTTGATGGTGGTGAGCAGGGAGTGAGTATCAACGGAAGGAAAGGAACAAAACATAACTTTTAAAAGCTATGTACAATAAGTACAAAATATATAATATAATTTGTGAAAATCTATTTATACCCATGCCACACACCAGTGCATGTGTAGAGAGAGACAGAAAGAGAGAGAGATATATGAAAGAATGAGCACCAAAATGCTATTTGTGGTCATTACAGACAGATGAAATGTCAAATAGTTTTTACTTTATGTGATCAAAAAAACAAATTTTATTATCAAAAATACTAAAATTATAAAATATAAATGTATGGGTGTAAATTTAGTTTTAAAATATATCCAAAATGGATGCCAAGTTGGTGGGCTTTCCTATTATATTTTGAGGTGTTAAATACGGTGGAGAGTAAAAGCCCATGGCACAGTGCCTGACACACAGAATAATGATTGCTACTTTTACTACTATTTTCAGAGGTCCGTGATCACCTGTTGACAACTCTGTCTACTTGTACCAAAAGAATCCCCTCAGGGACCCAGAGGGGAGGGAAGCTTCTAGAAGCACTAATGGCTCTAAAATCACCTCCATCCAGAGGAAAACAAGAATACTGACTGATTTTCTCCACAGGACTGTGCAGCAACAGGAGACGACATCATTGTGAGTTAAGAGTTGAAGCAAAAACATTAGTTTCTGACTTTCCAAACAGAAGGTCTTAAGTCCTCTTGCCATTCAGCTAGAAACGTGACAGTGTAAGCTAATGACCGAATTTTATATTTGAGACTGTAGAGCTGCCCGATTTGTAAGCAGGCTTTGTGTAATATCTCCCTACCTCTATCGGCAGGTCTGGAGAGCCCTTCCAGTCTCATCTGGCACCTTGGGATTCAAACCTCACCAGAAAGGAGAGCAAATCGCCCTGTCACTGCCCTATCTTTTTGGCAGTCAGTGTTTCAAAGCTAATAGATGGTAATGGATTCCAGGAGAACTTAGAAAACCCTCTGGTTAAAATGCTTTTTAAAATGTCTCCAGTCTCGCCAGCTGGGGAAAGCTAATCTCATCTCTCACGGTACAGAGCAACCCAGATCCCTTAATCTTCCTCAGATTTGTGCATAATACTTACCCTCTGATGTTTAAGTAATGCAGTCCAAAAAGGTAGCTCCTTAGTGCACCACAGAGTCAGTAGCCTGCTGGCTGCCCACAAGGGGCCAGGAGGACCACGCTTGGCTCAAGCTCCATCTTGGTGAGGCTGCCCTGTCCACTCTGCTTTTATGCCCCCTAACTCAGTGGGCCTTAATTCTTGATAAACTGGCTCTTTAGTACCTGAAAGAACAACTATGAGGCTATTTACTTTCAAAATGTATGCTTCTGTAATTGTGAGCAGAAAATACCCTGTTATCATCACACAGAGAGGAGCTTTTAATTCACACACTCACCCGAAGCCATTTATGAGCACACTGACCTCAGTTGCCTGGCTGCCGAAAATGATGGGAACACAAGAATAGGTTTTAAATGGACCCTCTTCGAGCTAAATCAGCCCTCAAAATACTTCTGATGGCATCTATTTACGTGTAAAACTGAGAAGCTATAGATGCATAAATGTATTCAGATGTCTGATTATAATTACCATGAAAAGAAGGCTTTTATAGCTGTCACTGAGTCATTGTAACTTCGGAAGCAAGGGAAGACTTGTGTGAGATTCTGCTCAATCAGGTGAGTATATCAAAAGAACACAAGACCATACACTTCACCATGCACCTGGGCCAAAGTACAAAGATTGGTCTTTCTTTGTGAGATGGAGTCTCGCTCTGTCGCCCAGGCTGGAGCACAGTGGCACGATCTTGGCTCACTGCATCCTCTGCTTCCCAGTTCAAGTGATTCTCCTGCCTCAGCCTCCCAAGTAGCTGGAACTATAGGCACTCACCATCAGGCCCAGCTAAATTTTTTTGTATTTTTAGAAGAGACGGAGTTTCACCATATTGGTCAGGCTGGTCTTGAACTCCGGACCTTGTGATCCGGCCGCCTCAGCCTCCCAAAGTGCTGGGATCACAGGCATGAGCCACCGCGCCCAGCCAAGGATTAGTCTTTCTAGTGGGGTCATACATAAAGCAGTATCCTCTCAAGTGACAGAAAACTTTCCCAGGGGGTCAAATTTGGACCTAATATATTTCAAAACAACAGATATTCGTATAGCCTCAAAAATAAATAAATAACACGTCTGCATTCTGCTTATGGCAATGGGGACAACACTCTCTCCCATCCGTCACAGCTTCCCTGGTCCTCAGGGGGACTGGTTACCCTGTGAGTTTCCAAGAGTTGAGAGAAGAGCTGAGTTATGCCAAGCATTCACAAGTCCCACTTTCCTCTTACTTGCAGTCCAAACAAACCACTGAGACATTGTTTTCTATAACCTTGTTGATTGTGCCTTTTATGCCCACAATTAAACACCCACACACTTGCCCTGACCATCCTGGAGTGCGATCTTCCTCCACATGTTTTAACCTCTCCACCATTATGCTATGTACTGAATGGTATCCCCACAAAATTCATGGTGAAGCCCTAACCTCCAGTGTGACGGTATTTGGAGATGTGCCTTTGGGAGGTGATTAGGGTTAGATGAGTTCAGGAGAGTAGGACTCTCATGATGAGATTAGTGCCCTATATAGGAAGGGGCACCATGGAACTTGGTCTGCCCTAACCACCCCATCCCCATGGGAGGACACAACTAGAAGGCAAAAGTCTGTAAGCCAGGAGGTGGGTCCTCACCAAGACCCAAATTGGCTGGCACCTTGATCTTGGCCTTCTTGGCCTCCAGAACTATGGGAAAATAAATGTCTGTTGTATGAGCCACCCAGTCTGTGGTATTTCGTTATGGCAGCCCTAGCTGATTCAGGCACCGACTTCTATGGCTTCCCCCTGCTTTGTTTCTGGGCCCCAGTTGGCCAAACCATTTGTCCTGGTGAGGTACATCAATTAGTTTCTATTTCCCCACCAATAGGGATGCACATAGCCACATTTCCTTCTAATACACCTTCTATTCTTCCAGAAAGCTTCTGCCAGCAACACCTCTTCCTCTTATTGAAAGGGAGGTATGTCACAGGCAGGGAGAACTCAGGGTCATGTCCAGCTCATCACATACCCTTGAGTGGCCCCTAAGTGTACCACTGTGAAACAGGGATCAAATATTTGCCCTTCTAGAAGCAAATCAAATAATGTATATGGAAGGCATTTTATAGATCATGAGGGGCCCTATAGATGTGAAACATAATTATACAATCTTAGCTCCTTTTGTGGAATTTGACCTCAAAGAAAAGATCACACAGCTCCAGTAACAAAATAAGTTTAAAGAAAAAAAAAACCCACAAGCATATGAAGATCCACAATAGTCCATGCCATCCCTTAAGGTGCGTTTCTTTAGGGCAAGAAGTTTTCTCCATTATCGGGGGGGAAAAAAGGGAGTTGGAATAAGAAAAAGCTCAAAGGTAGTAGTTTCATGACCTTTCTAAAACAGACCAAAAAATCAGTGACATTAAACAAGTGGTTCCCCCACTCAACTATGAAATGTTTGAGGTAAGAGCCGAGTCTTACTTACCTTTAAAATTCAAGACCATGTCAGCGTCTGGCAGATAACAAAAAAGGATCAATCAGTTGACAAGCAAATATGGTGTACATTCAAGAGAATGCTAGTGTCTTCTCCTGCCAATAGTAGGTCACTAATTATCACCACTAGGATTCTTCTTTGTGAATATATAGCCACACAGCCTAATGGAAAACTGACTTTGAAGTCAGATATACTGGCACAATAACACTGATTCCACCTCAGGCAAGCATCTCATGTCCTTCCTCTATAAAATGGGGATACCAATGCTCACCATACAGGTTGAAAGTGTTAGAGGAAATATTTAGAGCATTATGCAATCCAGCATATGTTCTCAATAAATAAAAGTTGTTTTTATTATTGATGAATCTCTCCAAGGAAGAACCCAATTATATCTATACAATGTCATAATCTGTTCATCATCTATAAAGTACATCTAGTAATATTTCCATTCAATTAACTGTCTACACTACTCTGTGTGTTAATGGATTGCAATATTTTCTGCTGGACATCAAGAAGTCATAATACTAAGATAGAATTGGCTATCATAAGAATTGAGGTACTGAGATTTAAAATGTAAGCTAGGATAAGCAGTACAGGCAGGGCCTACATGACTGAGGAGTGGGCAATGCTGCAACAAATCTCAAGGAATTTTCCAGAAAGCCAAAAAAGTTAGCTGTCTCTAAGTAGGACAGAGGGCCACTAAGCAAGGTTGAAATGACCAACATACAAATGTACAATTAAATGGAACCACAGGAAGTACTGCATGAGTAGAAGATAGGGATCCAGGACAAGCCAGGCCTCCCCATATCCCCTAAACCAGTAAGAACCAGTGAGCATTTAGCTTCACAGCTACAGCATGTAGGAGGGTCTCCCCTGAGGGACAAGGGCCACTGTCCTTCCCAAAGGATGGAAAAGAGATCATTCGAAGTAGAGATCAAGTAATAAGATGCTTCAGGTAAGAGGCCAGACAGCCAAAGTAAATGGTGGGGCTGAAGGACTAACCATTGCATGGTTAAAGATTTTCAAAACTGACCAAGACTTCTTTCAAGGTCAATATATGGCACTGTGAAAATTAATCAAGATCCAAAATACGAATGAACTACCTGTACAGAATATCTACCAACAAGGAACTGAATGCAAGATAATTACAGTCAACCACATCTGATTAGCAAACAGCATATAATGCTGTTCAATGTGCTTACACATATATTATTCCATTTGGGAAAATGCCAAGAGGCTGTATGCTAAAAGGTCAAGAGCCAGGGATAGGGAGGGGGTCTGCTAACATAATCTCAAGACAGCCGGCCACCATGCTAACCATACAAATGACAGTTCAGTACTAAAGTGGATCCCTGCACTGCAGCTCAAAGAGAGAGAGGGCTTGGGGTCCTGAACTAACATGACATCCATCAGTAGTCAGGAGCAGGGGGAGTGTCTGACTAATTAGAAACACGAAGCCAGTCCACCTCCACTCAAGGCCTGGCTCAGGGAGAGATCAACTTTGCCTTGAACAAAAGAGCTTACAGACCAAAAATAAAGATACCAAACCTAAACCCCATTGCGCTGACAGGTCAAAACTCTTAATCCTGGTGACCTTCCATGCTATTCAGATGCAGGCATTGTGATGAAAACGTCCCTGGATTCAGTTTGTAAGCTAAGACGCAGACAACCACAGATGTTCCCTCAGGCCATTCATTAATGCATGGGGTCATTTTGGCTTCTCTAATTTTCGTATATCTGTAATTTGGTTCTCATCCTCTAAATGCCTAACTTGGTCATTCTCCCTGAAACCAGTTCCATGCCTAGCTGTGACTGTTTTTATGCCACAAAATTTTAATCTCTTCAGGTGTCTTAATTTCAGTAAATTCAAGGAAGCAGTATCAAATCAACTCGGAGAGACAGGAGTAGCTACCCCAACTCTCCCCCACCCTGTATAACTGGCCCCAACTCTCTCGGGCATCTACAGGACAGTATTTTTGCCATGAAAGAGCTTCCTAGGAAAACGTTAGGGAGATTATTATCAGAATGGAAATTAAGAAAAGTGATTCATCAAATGTCACAAAGGGAATACAATTTCATAAGTCTTTAAAAGCCAAAACTTAGGGGTTTTTTTTAACCTTCTAGTCACTCTTTCTTTCCCCTAAAGTCATGGCATAATTGACCTTTAAATCCTATGCTGTAACCTGATCTGACAATGCCCACAGTAAAGCTGAACAAAGTGTGCAGTACAGTACTAACCTATTTTGTTGGGCAACTACTTTCCAGAATTTTCTCAGTCCATCCAGGAAAGGAGAGCCAATGTGCCCAGCATTAGGAAGGGTTAAGTATACCAAGCTGTTGATAACTTTTAATTTTCTTTTCATCTAAGTCATAGTACTATTAACTTGAATGTTATTGAAAACAGATTGAGTTGATCTGCTCATAAAATACCAACACAGAGAAGAGGAAAAGATATTCCAACTCCAGCAAAATTAAGAATGTGTAAAGAATAGGTTTCTAAATGTAGCTAATCATCTTGTAAAAAAGAAGCCAGGCCTTGAAACAAGAATTACGACTCTCCCTCCCACCACAACCCCCACCTTCCCAGCTCCTCATCCCCCTAGTGGAGTTGTGAGAGTTCCACAAGCATTAACTAACACCCAGACATGTTCTCCTGACACACCATCTTTGCATAAGGACCTTCTTGTGCTTGGCTTTGCTCAACAACAGAGCCCAGTGCTTCTCAGTCTTCTTGACAACCCCACTGCAGGCACCCACCCAAAAGGGCTTGAGATTCAGCCCAAAGTAGAAACTTCCTTCATGCCTCATGTTTGTTTTTAAAACATGCCAATTGCATTCTACTCTATAATAAATACATTTTTTTCATTTAATAGCAATGTTTCTGAATTCATGTGAATGATTCATCCCAGGCTAACCCTGCGCCCTTGTATATCCATGGCACACCAACAGTATCAAAGTACACTTCCTCTGCTTCTAAAGAAATCCATTCAACTCTTTCAGACACTGTAGACCAACTTAGACCAAAAAAAAAAAAAAGAGAGAGAGAGAGAAAGAAAGGTAGTTACACATATTTAATTATCTAAATGAAATTTAGGTTACTATTTAGAAGACATAGAATATTTCAACTTTACTCAAAATTTCCTTTAGGCATAAGGTGATTTAAGTAAGGCTCGGTCATTTAGAACTGAGGGTCACAATACATTTTCCAAAATGAAAATATGGACATGTAAGTCCCAACTGCAAATCCTTCAGTGCTCCCTACCAAATACTTAGAAGTCAAAACTGCTTAGTATAACACCAAGGTCATATTTCATGTAGACCCCACCTTCCATAGGCCAAGAGTGACTGATGGATGAGCCTTGGTTTTATGCACTACATGCAAAGACAATTGAGAAGATGCTCCAACTCTTGATAAAAGTACACGTTCCCATCTTCTCCATTTATTTCATCATTTACTTCATGGCTCCCTCTATATTCTCTCACTCACCCACATTTGTCTGACCTATTCCCCTTGCTGGGAGCACCTCGTGCTCATTGTCTGCCCTATCTCAGCTCAAGCAGATTCCCCCTCTAGAACTCCACCCCAATCCTTTCCCACTGAGTTGCTAAATTCCTTGATGCTTCCTTAATTCCACCCAAAGGAGTCACTCCAGGCTGCAACCTGTCTTTTTAATCTTTGCATCACTAGCATCTAACACAGCACTTCCCATGAAGTAAATCTTAGGTACATATTTATTAAATGAAAAATGAACCAGTGAAATTAACATACCAGTCAGTGCTACCTCAAAAAAGGGCAAGATGAGAAAGAGAATGGAACTGAATGCCAGTTTGCTTCTTTCCACCTGGAACTTAGCCAAGGACCTCTGTTACTCAAAGTGGTTTGGCCTAAGAGAAAAGTATCAAGAAGACTAAATGGAACTAGAAGTACTAAAACATTTTCTTTCTCATTCTGCTGTCCACACTCAATACAATATCTCCCCTTGGCTCTATTCATTTGGAAAAAACTTTTTGTTCAGATGTTCACATTGAAATGAGAGTTAATATTATATAAAAATAGAGGATCTCAAACTAAGGAAGAGGCTGGCTTTCCTAAACAGCACACTTTGATATTGCTAGAGAGAAGTGGCCTGCTGGGTGCACTGAGATTTTTTTTCCACTTGGTCTCAATGGCCACTGCAGTCCCCAGCCTTTCCAGGAGACACAGATTCCTGTGGGTCATGTTGGGGGTGGGGACAGAGTGCTCCATTTTCATAACTGGGAAGCAAGATAGCTGGTGTGTGAGCCATGATTGTGCACTACATGCAAGGATGATTTAAAGATCTTCCAAGTCTTGATAAAACTCTTTCCATGTTCTCAATTTTTTTCATTGTCTATACTCAAGAGGTAGTGAAGGTAAGGCCCACTGTCAGCCATCTGGCTTGGCTGCAGGCTGCCACACAGAAACTGTACATTCATTTTGGTCTACCAGAACTTCCCAGTGTTGATTACAGTATACTTTATATCCATTCTCTCCCTTTTCAGAAATTCTATTAGCATTCAGATTTGTTCTAAAATGTCTATTTTCTGAATAGTCTTTGTTAAATGAGAAGACATGGTTCTTCGCCACCAGCACCATCCTGTGCTTACCACCTCTTTGTTTTCAGCAATTGGGAATATGTCTACATGCACGGCTCTCATGGTTTCCATCTGGAAAGCAGGTCACAGGTCCCCACTCTGAGCCTGATATTCAAGAACCCATTTCCACCCTCACTGCTGAAGGCTTTAGGATGCAAACAGGCTTACTGTGGAGAGAACAGTTTCTAGCAGCTGAGGTAAGAGGATGAGACTGGTAAGAGGCAGAAAATCAGGACCTTCCATGTCTATAACGTTATTAAAATTTAAAGCATGTGGTGAATGAGAAATCTAAAAATCATCTTACACAGAGGAAGAAATGCTCAGGCAGCTGTAATGGAAACCAAAATACTCTAAATCTAGGTACAACAGGATATAAAACCTAGTACCCTGCCATTGCTTTTCTAAAGATTCTCCTTTCCTTATAATTATAGCTGAGTTCAGGTTAATCGTCATTCTTCAAGAAGGGGTAACTTCCCCCACATGCTATTTATCTCTTTACAAAAGATTTAAAAGGTTAAAATATGTGGATTAAGTTTTAAGGAAATTTTCATTTTGGAAAACATAGGCAATTGTAACGGTTAATTACAGGTCTTGGGGGGGGATTCTGAATCTGTTGCCAAGATGTATCTATTTAACCATACCTGGGGAACAGTAGCAGTGTTCCAGACCCAAGTGCTGCCTTAATCTTCCAACCCCTGGAAAGGGAGTCCCAACCCCACTCCACTCTCTAAAGCAGGTAATTTCTGTTCTCTGCCTCACTTCTTCTCTGCCTCTCTCCTTCTCTGCCCCTCTTGTTCTCTTTTTCCCTCTCTTTCTGTATACACAAAGACAAATGTGCATTTTGATTTCCAGTGCCAGAGAAAAGTCAACCCCTTTCCCCTCCCCCTTTGCCATAGCTGTTCTGTTCCAGAATGAGCACAAACAAACGAGGCTTAATTACTCTGTTTGTTAATCATGGGAAAGGAAAATTCCAGTATCTATACAAAGTCAGTCTAATTGCTTTCACTGAATCCACTGGTCATTTCAGTCCCAGAAAATAAATCACTCCAACTGCCTGGCTGAGGAGACCAGCTAAGTCCCTGAATTTTAGCAAAAAAGTCACCAAGGTAGCCCTATACAGACATGACTGACATTAGGACTCTGTTGGTAGTTTTCCAAATTGCCAATGTCTTTGGCACATCATGGCTGGTCTCAGGCTAATACCATTAAACTCAGATAAATCCACTATGTCCTTGCTGGGTTTGTCCTCTTGGAGGTTTAGTGGAAGAAATGTGCCTTTCAGACGCTTCTGCTCTGAATGCCACATGTTAAATAGAGGATTTCAGGCAAAGGTGGTCTCTGAGATGGGTAGGCTGGGTTTACACACAGTGAATACATCAGGCGCTAATGAACACCCCATCTTTACCCATTTGCACTCTGCCACCTAGAGCTTCATAACTTTCCTTCAGGGCAAAGGAGGAATCAGAAGGGAAACAAAGGGAAGAGAGATAAAATGAAAGGAGAGGAAATGAAAGGATGGTCCCACGAAGCTACTGAAGGTAGAGAAATGCCATCTACATCCATAAACAGATGAAATTGGAAATCATCATTCTCAGTAAACTATCGCAAGGACAAAAAACCAGACACCACATGTTCTCACTCACAGGTGGGAATTGAACAATGAGAACACATGGACACAGGAAGGGGAACATCACACTCTGGGGACTGTTGTGGGGTGGGGGGAGGGGGAAGGGATAGTTTTAGGAGATATACCTAATGCTAAATGACGAGTTAATGGGTGCAGCACACCAGCATGGCACATGTATACATATGTAACTAACCTGCACACTGTGCACATGTACCCTAAAACTTAAAGTATAATAATAATAAAATAAAAAAATAAAAAAAATTTAAAAACAGAGCCTGGAGAGGAGTAAGGGAAGTCCCACTGTCTAGTCACAGAGATGCATGGTGACACCTTGGGTCAGGCTATTCCCTCTGTGCTATTACCTCTGTGGTACTGTTAACAGCTATAGTGCCAACACGAGCACACCTCTGTGGTAGGCGCCATGTCAAATGGAATGTTCCCCCAACCAGTGCCCATGACTGGGGCCAGTGCTGAGCCTTTGCCCAGGAACAAAGCAGATGATGGAGATATCACAGTCTAGCATAGGCAACTTGGAGGAGACACATCCCCCTGTAATGCCTTCTCAAACCCCACAACCAACAAACACAGACATCCAGGTATTTCTATTGCAGATGTCATTTGAGTTTTCTACAGGCACTGACAAATGCCCAGGAGTTTGTGATAAGAATACTTTGCCTTCAGCTTATGTCATAAATGGAAATGTCTGCTGCCTCAATGCATACGACTGAACCCTATATATATTTTGCTAATTGCCTTAGTAAATAAAATATGAACATCTTATAATTGAGATGCTGTTAAAAAATGAAGACTCCAGTATGGATGCTTACATTGATCAGTTCATCCATTCAAATAGTGAGTCAACAAATATTTAATGGGATTCTACTATGGAACATGAACTATACTGAGAATATAAGCAGGAATAAAAGATAGCCTCTACCCTTGAGCAGCTCACAGTGTAGAAAAAACAGGAATTTAATGTGATGTTTGCTATAATATGTATTTCTTATAGCATATTATTAACACCAAAGGAAGACTGATTGACTGTCTATGGGAGTTGAGGAAGACTTCACAAAACAAAGTATTTAATTTAGATCCTTAGGGGCAAATATGTGTTTTATAGGTGAAGAAAGAGGTGTAGGTTATAACAAACACACCATATGTAGGGAAACTCAGTTTTATTACTTACTAGTACATATCATCAGTTACTAGGAAATCATCCCCACTATTATCCAAAAGCAAATGGACCAATGCTTTAAATTGAAAAGTTATAAATGTGCTCAATGTATGATCACTTCATTGGAATTTACCAAACTGGTTCTTTCTATGGTTTTTACACAGTACATGGAAGGCTTTGACCCATAATGACTCAGTAAGATGAATGTTTCTCTCACTCCCATTTCCAAGTACTGTTTCCTTTAGTCATCTGTTTTTGGAGTCTCTTTAAACTGAACTGAGTTTCATCTTTGGACTGTACATGTGGCAACGCACATGATCATCAAATCTCTCTGATGTTAAACAGATGTTGAGTTTAATTTTGTGATACTCTGATAAAAAGGATTAAAAGAAGGCTCACAAAAGCAATCACCCTACCCCCCAAAAAAACTGAATTTTAACAATAATCAATGAGCCAAAAGATGTGGTTAAGTTTATCCTAGTAAGAAACAAAAATATTACAAAATGAACACTCTGTTTTTGACCCAAAACATTTTTACTGACCTATTAAAACTCAAGGCATTATTCAGGGTTAGTCAACCGGCATAGAAAAGTTTTAATATTTTCCTGTAATTTCAAAAGCACTTATTAAGTTTAGGTAATGAAAAGGTTTTGGAAATAGTGGTGATAGTTGCAAAACACTGAATTAATTAATGCCACTGAATTACACACTTTAGTTAAAATTGTAAATTTTATGCAATATATATTTCACCACAATAAAAATACCCTATTGAAATGTTTTATTTAAAAAGCACTTATTAGAATTTTTTATAGACCAGATATTGACATTTGAAATTTTTATTCTGACCATTTTCCTTGGAGAGTATTGTAAGAGATCAAAGATTCTAGATATATTGCCTTTTATCCAGGCAAAACCATATGTGAAGTACTATAAGAAAACTTAATCTATCTTAAAGAATTCTAGAAAAGAGTCCACAATATTTTCATAAATTTGTTATATTAATGAGCTAACAGAATTATAATAGGCTATCAAATCTACTACTTTTCTACAGATGTTCTAAAATGATCTCAATTCTTATAGTTTTTGTTTGACCAGAATTTGTGCACAGTTGAATTGTTCTGACACTAACTAAATCTTATGTAAGATTTGAATCAAGCTAATGAGAGACTTAGAAACTCCAGTGATTTATGGTATAGAGAGTAATACTGAACTGAAATGCTGACTGACGTCAACATGAGGTTCACAAACATGATATAGGGCCACAGAATCAAGTCTGAAAAAAGGTGGAAAGAAATGAGCAAATATTCAGATGGCGGAGTATGCCAAAGAGTTGATTTTAAGAGTAGGCATTTTGAGGAGATGTATGAATTAAGACTGATTAAATGACTTCTAATACAATAGGAAAATATTTCCACCTAAAAATTCTAATCATCTCTAAGGGAACATGAGAGATATTTTAACCCAATATTACTTATGCGTATGGCACAATTAGCATTGTATGAGATGTGACTGCAAGGTAAGAAGAGCAATTCCATATTCCTCAACCTTATTTATGATAATACTTTGCACTTAAGGAAATTATAACTTCTAGTGTTAATTAATATATTTCTAAAAATGTATTTTTGGGCTGGAAAGCAACCAAAACTTCCATTAACAAGGTTATGTTTTTCCTATTAAGAAGGTTTCATTTTTAAGCTCTGCAAGGACTTTGTCCCCATTAAAACTTGCTATACACTGGACTATAACTGAAAAATGGTGAAACTCAACATTTCATAGTAATGAACAAAAAATACTTAATCTGATCTTTTCTCTCTAGGACTATTCAGAGCAATAAAACACATAAGGGGAAAAAAGAGATCCTATGAGTACATTCAGACCTGGAAATCATCACGAATTAACAGTCATTTAAAAAGAGAATATTAACAGAAGGAAAGAATTCTATACTGCAATTCAGATGACCTGGATTTGAGATCCACACTTTGACTTCAAGCTGTGTGATTTTAGAACACCCAACTCTCTGCCAACTTCACAGGGTTGTTGGGGCAACCAACATATGAGAAAGCACTTGGTAAATGGAAAAGCATTGACAAATGTAGGTTAATAAAAATCTACTGTTACCATTAAAATTTAGTCTGCAGTATTAGACATTAGTCCACTCGTGCTCTCACTCTCTTTGATGACAATGTTCTATCTTCCTTCTCTATCTTCAAATTTCTATCATTTTCTACCCAAGCATCACTCTTTGTTGGTGACCTGTTTTCTGACTTCACTAAAAAATCTGAAGCAATCAGAAAAGAACTGGCACATGGTCTCACCACCACCTCTCTCTACCTGTGAGAATCTTGCCCATACACTCTGCCTACCTCCTGTTACAGAGGATGAACTATATTCCTAAAACAGGGCCACCTCGTCAACAGACCCCATCTCTTCCTCCCTACTCAGCAACCCAATAGCAATTCTCCCCTCCGTATCTTAACTTTTTGCTCTCTACTACATCAGTACCAGCAATAAACCTTCATACTGTTGTTTCACCCCTCTAAAGGCAAAAACCAAACCAAACAACAAAACAGAATCCTCCTGACTGAAGTTCCCCTATAAGGTACCAGACTATTCTTCTCTTCCTTTTGCAGTAAAACTCTTCAAGAGTCTTTACACTTGTCTCCAGTTCCTCTTCTTCCATTTTGTTGTCAACTCCCTCCAAAAACCATCTGCCCCACCACACCACCCAAACAATTCTCCTCAAGGCCACCAATGATGTCCACGGTGCTCAATATACTGCTCAGTTCTCAGTTGTCATCTTATTTACAGCATTTGACCCAGCAGATCACATCTTCTTCATATCCTCTTCTTCAGTTGGCTTCTGGGACTCTTCTCTGGGTTGGCTTTCCTTCTCTTTTAATGGTTGCTTTTTCTCACCTTCCTTTGCTATTTCCCTGTGTCCCAGACTCAAAATTGAGTACCCCAAAGGTCAGTCCTTAAACCCTTCATTCAATAACTTCTTTCTCACTCATACCTTGGTGTGCTCATCCAGGCTGATGGCTTTAAATACCATCCGTATGCTCATGTCTCTCAACTATATATTTTTATCCCAGATGTCTTCATTGAGTTGCATACTTCTGTATCCAACTGTTTACCCAACGTTTTCTCCTGGAGGTCTCATGCCCTTATAAAACTTTCAATGTCCAAAACAGAATAACTGGTCAGTCTCCAAACATCTGCTATGGTCACAGAGTACCCTGCCTGAGTTAATGGCCACTCCCATGTTTCTAGCTGTTCAGGCCAAAATGCTTGGACTATCCTTGACTCTACACTTTGTCCCACACTCACAACTTACCATATGCAAACCTTTCAAATGGATCGCCCCTTTACCACCTCCATCAATTCTTGTCTGGAATGTCGCATAAGCCTCCCACCTGGGCTCCCTGCTTTGCCTCTATAGCCTCTTCTTAGCATGTCATGTAGAGTGATTCTTTTAAAAGATAAGTTATGTCTTATCTTCGCTCTGCTTAGAACGCCCCTGTGGCTTTCTTCCTCACTCAGTAAAATCCAGAGGTATAACAAAGTCCTTCAAGACACTATATAATCAAGAGCTGCCCCCGCTCCCCATTTCTGACCTTATCTCCTATTCAGGATCATTCCACCGCTTGCTATTTCTCACACTTGCCAACTAGCTCCTGCCTCAGGGCATCTGCATGTGCTCTTTCCTCTGTCAGGAAGATTCCCCCAGATACCTGTGGCATTTGCCTCCTTACCTCCATCTAGTTTTTATTCAAGGTCACCTTCTCAGGGAAGCTTTCCTTATCGAAAACTGCAAATCCTTCCCGTTCCTCTGCTCTGTTTCGAGGGAGTTCTCTACAGTACTTCTCTCTCACCTTCTGATATCTACTGTTGTTTACTGATTTATCTTGCTCACTGTCAGTTTCACCCATGCTGCAGATTGAAGCTTCTCAAGGGTAGGGATTCTGTTTGTTCACTGCTGTAAACTAGCACTTAGGAAGATGCCTGGCACTTAGTAGGTGATGCTTGATAAACATTTGTTGAATTAATGAACTAAATGATGGAATTACAGCTATTAGCTGTGAATGATTTCAGATGTCTAGTCCTTGCCTTATTCTGTGGTTCTGAAGGAGCATGGCTGACATGAGACACAGCTGAGCTCAGGGCTCTTTCCAGCCCACAGCCTTTCCTGACACAAAGACACAGAACTGAAGCACCCACCCAAGGTAAGTTCAATCACGATCATGAGAATAAATTCTTCCACTGCTGATTTTCATTGAATCTAATAGGAACTAACCCAGAATTTTTTCCAAATATCAATTGTAAAATGAAGGTCTATTCTATTCCAGGAATTGAGCATCCTTTGGTAAACTTTTAAAATTTTTTTCTTAAAATTTAAGCGTAAACATTTAAGGTAAGTGGTTTGTAAACCTCAGGCTTCCAAAGGTTTAGCAGTTATGTCCATAAAGACCTGAGGCAGGTGTTGATGCACAGATCCTAGTGGTTTCTGAGCCATCTCTGCTTCAACTACCTTCCTCTTGGACTCAAGTCTTCCAGTTCTCCTAACTCCCAATTTAAAGCTGCTCATCTGATACCAAAACCAGCTGCAGCATAAATGCTGTTTTTTTCTAGCCTCTAGTTGAGGGGGCTCCCATACCACAGATGCACAGCCCTCCTGCCTGCTTGAACCAACACAAACTTTGGTTTATATAGTGCTGAAGAATTATTCAGAGGGCAGGTTTCAGTCAATTCGGTGAATTCATAACTTCTTCAAATAGCCTGAGATGATCAGAAAAAAATGTTTGCTAATTCTTGGCATCCTCAAATATAATCTCTCTGTTAAATGTCAGTTACTTTGACATTTGACAACCAGTACTTTTTGTGATCTATATTCCGGTCAAGGACCTTGGCTAAACACTGTATAGAAAACAAGGATATAGGCACAAGTTTCCAGGATGGGGCAGTAAGGAGTACATTGCAAGATCATGCCCCAGAAGTGGAGGAAAAAGAGTATTTGAGAGATACTGACCCTGTGGGTTTCATGAGAGAAGTTTTCATGTGGCAATTGTAGGGTGAGCTGAAGGGCTATGTCATAGGAGGGGAAGACACAAGGTGGCTGGCTCATTAAATACAGGGCAAATTGCTGAATGCAAGACTCCCCTTTCATCTTCTGCAAACTCTCATTTAAACGATCTGTACAAACGAAAATAATCACTCATCAAAAACATGAACCACATAGCACCTTACAGATAAGAGACATCCAAAAATATTTGTTAATAAATTAATGAGTATTAGAATAAGTTAAAATATTGCTACTAAACTGACTACTTAAAAACAGGAGAATTAACATGAAATGATGGGACAAGTCCTCTTAAAAAGTTTAATCGGGCCAAGCCCAATGTCTCATGCCTGTAATCCTAGCACTTTGGGAGGCCAGGGCAGGTGGACAGCTTGAGCCAAGGAGTTCGAAACCAGCCTGGGCAACATGGCGAAATTCTGTCTCTATAAAAAATACAAAAATTAGCTGGGCGTGGTGGCAGGCACCTGTAATCCTAGCTACTCAGGAGGCTGAGGTGGGAGGATCACCTAAGCCAGGGAAGGTTGAGGCTGCAAGGAGCTGTGATTGTGCTACTACATTCCAGCCTGGGTGACAGAGTGAAACCCTGTCTCAAAATATATATATTATTAATCATAGATACTCCCTTGATTATTACTATGAGTTACACATAGCTAGGAAAGTCTTTTGAAGAATAGGTAAAACAGCATCTCCAGCTTTAGGGGGTGCATAGAAAAAGGAAGAGACAATATATAGATAGGAACTATGTCTCATTACTGGATCCCCAGGGCCTGACCTCATGCCAGGCACATTGGAGATGGTATATTTGCGATGAATACACATGAGGCCTGCAGGAGGCTCCAGGGCAAGAGTAATGATAAAGCCAGCAAACACAGATACAGACACTGGAAGGATCAGAGGTGCCCTAACAGTTTCCCTTGCTTTTTTGGGGGGGTGGGGGGGGGGGTGGGGACAAAGTCTCGCTCTGTCGTCCAGGCTGGAGTGCAGTGGTGTGATCTCAGCTCACTGCAACCTCCGCCTCCCAGAATCAAGCAATTCTCCTGTCTCAGCCTCCCGAGTAGCTGGAACTATAGGTGTGTGCCACCACACCGGGCTAACTTTTGTATTTGTAGTAGAGGCGGGGTTTCACCGTGTTGCCCAGGCTGGTCTCAAACTCCTGACCTCAGGTGATTCACCCACCTTGGCCTCCCAAATACTGGGATTACAGGTATGAGCCACCGCACCCAGCCACTTTGCTTTTTTATGCTCACATTATTACCGGGCCTGTGAGAGCCACTGTTCCTTCAAGGTTAGAGCCTACATCTGGGAGAAGTGCTCCTGCCTCTCGCAGCATCCCTTTAAGTCTGATAAAGCAGCTCCTGTGTGCGGTGCCCACTTCAACCTGGGACTTGCTTGGCAGTTGTGTTTTTTTTTTTCCAGTGATTAAGCCAAGCAGGCAGATTCCTGCATAGTCTCCTTGCAACAGAACCTGCCAGCAGACCTGACAGACAACATCACTCCGCATGTTTCCAAGAAAAAAAAAAAAGGAAAAAAGAAAGAAAAGAGTCATCTACTTCACCACAAAAAACCACTTGCCTATTCAAAGTCATTTGTTGTTAGACAAAGTTCTAAACCAGGGGTCATCAGTTTTCTTAGCAGCAATAGTCCAGACCCTGGTTAAGACAGTGGAGCCCTATAGTGAGATGGCTCATATATGTATAACCATATACAGCAGAAGTCTGATTTTATGCTATCTCCTGATCCCAGTGACAAAGGAGATGCAAAGGTTTGGTGACTGCACTGTAGACAGTTTATATAAAACCAGGAGAAAAGAACATGGGAGCTTTGGATTGCTCCATATTTAATTAAATGAATTTAGTCAGTACTGCACCTACAAAATGCCAGATTCCAAATTAGGGAACAGTAGCAATGGTTACATGTGAGCTTTACCAGCAGTTCTGAGGATTTCAAATCTTTCTACACTTTATAAGCTTTACATGCGTCCCTGGATTAAGTTGCTTATCCCAGATAAGAAATTGTATATAAAGACAGTGAAACAGTGGGTAAGACACAATGAGTACCCAGTAATATATTTTTATTAGATCTTCTACACATGTATGGCATCTAATGATAATGAATTTTATATTAAATTGCAATATTATTAATTGCATTTAATTCTCACAACAACCCTATGAAGTAGTTATTATTAGTAGTATTTTACAGATGGGAGATTAGGAGATTAGGTTTATCTGACCTTGTTCTTTATCCCCTCCTCTAGAACATCCAAGCAGTGGTTTTTCCAAACTAGGAAGACCCCCCTACTGAGCAGAGTTAAGAAGGCAATGGAAAAAAAAAATGTTCTGGGCTCAGAATGGCGTGGGTGAGGGACTTCTAATTCCATTTATTTTAATAGTATTCAGATGAAATGCAGGGCATACAAATAGATATGCACAGTGCAAGTTAACCACCAGAAAGCTCTTCAATCTTGCCAAGTTAGACAGAGCTGTTTCTTTTGTACCAGTTTTAGACCGCAAATCTGGAGAATTTATCTGTAGGGCTGTTTTCCCAAGGCCTCCAAAACAGACCCAGGGCAAACCACACATCCCGGGCTGACACTGCTCAACTTCAGCTTCTGTTGTTTCAGCTCTGAGGCGGTTTCCATGCCAGCATGCAGCCCTTTTGTGTTTTTGCAGCTTCATCCCAGGCCACATTTGTTTAGGTGCGTTCACTATCTCCAGTTCAGCTGCCTTCTCTCAGGCTAAAATAACACTTGGCTTATGCACTAAGAAAACGCTGCTATTGTAATTTTGCAGTGGTAGCATTTTTGGAATCAGATTCGCAATTCTGTATGCTTTGCATATTGATGGCATTGTTCTCGTTAGTCACATCCTGTCTAACTCTCTCAGTATCCCAGTCCTCAGCTTCCCATCATCCCAGACGTACTCTTGTTGGAATTCCCCCTTCCACCTGTCAAACCCAGTTCCTTGCCTCCCTGCAATCACAGCAATAATAAAAAATAACAAACAGCAATAATAACAACACTGTCTCTTTATAGCACTTGGGAATTTCAAATGTCATGGTAACAGTTATAGCAATGGGCCCACAAAAAAGCATGGTAGAATAAACAGAGAAACAAGAATATACAAAGAGAAAATGTTGGGAGAACCCCAAACATTTTTCTGATTCTCTTTAGGAAAGGTATTTTCTAAATCTATTTTTAGACCACTGGGATTTCAGGGTCAAAGAACACATAAGAACTTGCTGAGCTTTATTTTCGTCATGCCAATACAGAGGGCAGGACCACATCAGTGCCCATTCAATAAACAGTAGGCATGATTATCATCATCATCATTCCTTCAGAGGAAAAGAAACCTCTCACTCAAGTGTTCCCCACTCACACCCCACCTACCTCCCACAGTCCATGACTTCATCTCGCCAAGACCCATTACAATTAGTTTGATACCAACTGTATATCAAAAATCACAGTGCCACCCACGGGCACTTACTTATTGGGTTCATTTACGCTGATGAAAAATACTCAAGAAATCAAGGTAAATCCTGGTTTGTCTACCTTCAGAATAAATCTACTCATACCTTCACCTCCATCTAAGAAAAATTTACGAAGGCACTGTGATTCTAACCCTTAACAAACCCTGAGGTCTGTGAAACAGCTCTTCTGATGAATCATGGACAACCCCCAAGTCTCTCTAGATCCTTGAAGACTGAAGATCACCTGGACCAAACTGAACATCCCATCTCCTCTGAAACCCTGACTTCCTGCCAGAACCAAACAAGCTCCACAAATAGTGGGAGTGAAGTTGTTTCCTTCACTGCTTTCTTTCCTGGTCATCCCAGCACATTTCCTTGCATGCAAAACAAAACAAAACCACTATTTTTCCTCATAATTGTATTATAATATCATATTGCATAAATATGACTATGCTGTAAAATCAAATTTCATCCTGAAAATATTAACCATGTATAGTAAAAGCCTAACATGTGCTACCTTCCTGTGAAGCAGGATGTTAACCCTCCCTGTTGACACCAGCAGAGGGAAACTTACTATAGACTGGACTTTCCGATTCTCAGGAGAACCTCCTAAATGCAAGAATAAGGAGAAAATTAATATAGATCATTTCTCTTAAGAGCCTAAGACTCAGCAAACAAGAGAAGGGAGATTGTCAGGGACAGACTTCCCTTCAGTGTAACTTTATTCAACACAATATCACTCGGGCACCTACTACTTGCTGGGCTCTATCTAGATAATACTCAAATTGTTGCCTTCATTCCCAATATCATGGAGCACCAGGATCCAGGGCTAGATGTCACTGTGTCACAGGAAGTAGGAAAGTCACACATCTACTCTACTTTTCAACCTCGACTAAACATTGAGTTGACATCAAATACAAAGCCATAAGATGCATCGTATTCACAAAACACTTCCTAAACTCCAGACCTGAACATAATTGAGACTTTTTTCCTTTGTTTTTCTTTTTTCTCAGTCTATGTATTTTAGTCAACAAAACCATATGCTTGACTTCTGAAATAAAGTGATGTGAGCCTTCCCTGCCCTGGTTTCTTTCCATTATTGAGATTTCCATAAGTTTAAGAAAAGATGCTGGCCATTTAGCCTCCAAGGATACTTAGCCTCAGGATCAGCTAGACAAAATCTAAATTTCCCAAGAAGTTCCCTCAATACTTTGCCCTTTAAAGCAATATGAATCAATTATCATGCAGTTCATTCCTGCATGGGGGCAGGAATGGACCATAAAATGACCTCTTTAAAAATCCAACTGAGTAAATATAAAGCCACAAAAATAGTTTCCCACAGCAACTTTCTATCTTCAATGTCTTTCACTAAAATAGCTAAAGAAACTAGATTCCAATTAATCTCTTTACATTACATAATAGAATTAAGCTTATACAATTAAATGTTACATGAAGGATTGATATTTTGAATACATGACTAAAGCAACAAATAACCTGCAAGAAAAACACATACAGCTTTGTTTCACTACCGTGTGGCTTCTACCAGCACACCTCCAAATAAGCCAATCTTGCTGAGATGACCAATGGCCTCCATGCTATGAAATCCAAGTGAGGATTTCAGTCCTCCACTTACTTGACTCCTCAACAACACTCACCACAGTTCACCACTCTCCACTTCTTGTAATATTCTTCCCTTGGACACGAGGACAGCTCGGTCTCCTTGCTGTCCTTGTACTCCCCTTTCATCCCTTTTCAGCCTCCTATTCTGACTCCTCCCCTACCTGACCTCTAAATGTGGCAATTTCTCAGGACACAGTCCTGGAACCCCTTTCCTTCCTACTCTATGCTCTCTCCCAAAGTGATTTCATGCATTCTCATTGCTTTAAATACCATGCCAGCAACTCCCAAATTTATAACTTCAGCTCAGACTGATTTTCTGACTCCAGACTCATCTACTTAATTACCTACTTGTCATCTTCAACGGTGGCTCACTGGCATTAGAAACTAAACTTGCCTGCAGCTGAATTCTTGATCTCCAGGCACTGGCCCTTCCCTCCACACAACTGCTCCTATAGGACTCCTGGGAGTCACCCTCAACACCTTCTCCTGCACCCCACAAAGCCCCTTGCCTGCCCTCTAATCAAGGGCCTGCTCTCTCTTGCTGACCACAGCATCAGCCTCCCAGCCATGGCCACTGCTCTCACTTAGTCCCCTCCAACCCTTTCTCTAGCAACAACCAGAGAGAGCTACTCAAAGCACAAATCTGATCCTGTAACTCCCTAAAGGATCTTAAAACTCCAGAAAGGTTTACACTGAGGACCTGTAATGAAGCCTGCAATCTTAGGGAATGATGGGATCAACCCCTAGATGAAAATTTTTGTATTCTTTTTCACTGCTGTAAATAAAGCTCTGTGAATTTTTACATTTGTATGCTCCTGTGTAACTCAACACCTGAAACAAGTTATAAACACTTCCAGCATTCTAGAAAGCTTATGCCCCTGTCCCATCCCCACCCTCTTCACAGGAATCTACTATCCTAGCCTTTATTACAATGAATTTATATTGTCTTTTCTTGACCATTATATACATTGGCTCATAGAGATCAATAATTTTTTAAACTAAACCAAATTCTTTGAATGCTCTGCAAGTTTAGACCAGCTTTAAGACAGTGAAATCCTGGAGTCATCTAATGTCAAATGTCTCAATTCCCAAAATAGTTTGTTAATTTAAAAGTGAGAATGAAATGCACCCAACACCCCAGATGAAGGTGTCCTTGTGAATTGTCCCTCAGTATTTAAGACAACAGTATTTAAGAGGAACTACTGCCTCTACTCATGGGCTTTGAACCAATCTGGATATTCTGCTAGGGAAATTTAGTCAAAGAGACCAGTCTTTAAATTCAAACAGGGAATTCAAAGTGACAAAAGTACAATAGCATAAGCAAAGTATACGGTTATAGTCTTAAGAGAGGAACGGGACTTTATCAGGCGTAAGGTCTTACTGATAGAGTTGTATCGCAAGTATTAGGAATTAATGAGGATGGGCTGTGCTGCGGCAGCTTGAAGTCTGATAAAGCCTCACCTGCACCCACTGAACATTCTATTCACCCAGGAAGAAGGCTGACAAATCTCTATTTTCAAGCCATAGTCCTTAATTTTGTCTTTCTGTCCAGAATAAGGACCTATTCAAATAAATATCCCAGGGCAGCAAATCCCTGGAATGCCTCCGCTCTCCTATAAGTTATTGTGCCACCTGAAGGTCAAAGAGCCATCTCCCCTGGGTTTGGAATTTTGGAAGCCTCTGTGGAGGGGCAGGTGGAAGGGCTTAAGGACTTGTTTTTGCTCCCTCGATGGTCCAATACCCCTCCCTCAGATCAAGCAGAGAATTTCTAGGCCTAAAATCAGGATTAAATAGGAGTACTATGGACACTCCAGCAAAGTATGGCAGATTTGACGAAGCTACTCTCACAGCTCATCCCATTTCTTACTGGAAAGTCTGCCCTCTGCATCCTCTGGTAGCACAAACACTAGTTAAGTGCATCAGCAGACCTGTGCCTCCTGACGCCTGCTAAGTGCCAGGCACGGGTTCTGACGACACGATTCCAGGCACGTGTGAGGCACTCAAAAAATGCTGGTGACTATTACCATGAAAGAATTCCCACAAATCATGGTTTCTGCTTCCTAAATACACACACACAAAAAACCTGCTTGCTTCTTCCATTTGAAACATAAATTAACTTGGGTAACATCACCATCATCCCATCCTCTTTTTGGTAAACTAAACCAGAAGATTTCTTAGAGGAAAAAATACTGCTTTAGAATATTTAATGATATATACGTCCACTTTCTCTTTTTTACTAAACCTAAGTTTCTCTTGAATCCCATGCTAGTAATTCTCACTTAGCCTTGCTAAAGATGCATGGAAGAAAACCTTCCAGGTCTTCTGGTAAATGGAGTGGTGGGTGAGAGGATGAGTCCATTTTGGGCCAGACATCCTTAGATACGTGCTTTGCCAATGACAGCTGACAAACTTGGGAGCAAGGCCATCTTGCACAGGATCCCAGCCCTATACTGTTCATGCAACCAAGAATCACCTGAGACTGAGAGGTCAAGGCTGCAGTGAGCCATGGTCTCGCCCCCTGCTCTTCAACCTGGGCAACAGAGTGGGATCCTCTCACTTATAAAAAGAGTCAGCCTCAGTGAGGAGAGGAAAGCCATAGCAAGAAGACAGGAGAAAGACAACCTCAAAGCTTTCTAATTCTTGTACAGTTGTCATTAGCTACGTTCATTATTTTTAAGAGACAGGGTCTTACTCTGTTGTCTAGGCAGGAGTACAGTGGAGCAATCATAGCTCACTTACGTAACTTCGAAGTCCTAGGCTCAAGCAATTATCCTGCTTCACCCTCCTGAGTAGCAGGGACTACAGGTGCACACCACCATGCCCAGCTAACATTTTTTTATTTTTTGTAGGGACAGGGTCTCACTGTTGCCCAGGCTGGAGTGACACATTCATATTTTTATGTTTGCTTCTCATGGGATGTTCTTGAACTTACTTAGGAATTGTCCGAGTCTGTTTGTTCTGCTATAACAATATACCACAGACCGGGTAATTTATTTATAAGCAAGAGAAGTGTACTACTCACAGTTCTAGACGGTGGGAATTCCAAGATCAGGGCACCAGCAGATTCCGTGTCTGGTGAGGGCTGTTCTCTGCTTCCAAAATAGTGCCTTGTTGCTCACCCTCACAAGGTAAAAGAGATGGGAGGGAAACAGGGATGAACAGCACCCTCACGCCTCTTATATAAGGTCATTAATCCCACTCATGAGGGCTCCACCCTCATGAGTAAATCACCTCCTAAAGGCTCCACCTCTTAATACTATCACACTGGAAATTAAGTTCCAACATATGGATTCTGGAGGAACACAGACCACAGCAGGAACACAGGAGCATTTACTTCAGACAGGGACACTGGGCCCAACTTGGGGCTCCTATAAGGAGTCCTGGCCTGGCATAAGCTCTCTGTGTCAATCCCCTGGCATATGTAATACCAGATTCTTCAGTTGTCAAAGACCTTTAAATTGCTCTTCTCAGCATTTATTCAGTACATTTAAGGAGCAAAAGAAGAACTTAGGGTTTTATAAAGAGTAAATAATTCCTGTCACCAGAATCTGGACTTAATTTCTTAGCAGCTCACCCTCCAAATTATCTACATCTGCACCCCACTTTCCTGCCAGCCTTGGTGAGAGCCGTGGCCCGTTCCCGTCTGCTGCTAATCGCTCCACCTCTGTTCCCTCTTGATTTCTCGGGAATCTCAACCATCAGTTATGCCCTCCTTCAGCTGTATTGTCTACCCTCCCACTTTAATGCCTGTTCCTCCTCTTCCCCCACAGAGAAGCATACTTATGCCTTACCCGTCTAAATGAAAACCAACAATTTCCCACTTCTTTTCACAAACTTAGCTACTCAAAGTCATGGACTCACAGTCCTTTTCTTCCTGAATTCAATCCTTCTGTTGGGTCAGCGGCATCTAGCACAGTGGACCACTTCCTCCCTCCTCTTTGAATCTCTCCCTTTGTCTGGCTTTTTTGACCCCTCTTCCTGCCACTGTCTTCCTATCATTTCAGCTGCCCATGGTAGATACGATTCTAACTACATCCTTCTTTCTCTAAGGGCTGACTACAGCCAGGGTGGGCCCTCATTAGCCACATTTGTATTGCATGACACCATGGGCACCTTTCCAAGATGAAACGCTAGACTAAGTCTCCCAGAAAACTGGAGTTGAGGTCGAAAGGCAGTCAATTGGATGGGAGATCTCATTATCTGAGGAGGCTTCAACTCAGGAGCTGTGGGTATGTCACCCACACAGAGCAATGGAGGAAGATGGTTTTTAGACAGAAAAAGGGAACAGCCTTGCTGCAATATGAGGACCTTAGTGTGACAGAGTGCCTGCTGTGCTCCTGGAGACTTTTTGGGTCCTAGTTCCAGAACCTTGAGTGCCTTTGATAACCTAAATTCTAAAAAGTGTGTTTTTGCTTGAGCTAGCTTGTGTTGGCTCCCGTGGCCTGTAACCCCGGGAACCTTGATTATCATACCACTCATTTCTCCTCCTCTCTTACAGTGTCCTCTCCCCTCTAACTGCAGATGTCACAGGCACTCACCCTTCACCCTATTTCTCCTCTGGGTCCGCATACTCTCCCCTGGTGGTCTCCTCCACATTCACCTGAGCTCCAGATCTGGACACCCTGAAACACTGCTCATCTCTGCTCAGATTCCTACAAACTCCTATAATTAATAATTCCAAAACTAAACTCAAACGTATCACTTTCCCAATATTTTGTAGACTGGCGAGTCACCCCACCATCTACCCAGTCACTAAAGTCAGAAATCTAAGTCAAGCTTCCCTTCTTCCTCTGTTTCCCGCTCCACAACCAGTGCCATCACCCTGTCTTGATGATTCTGCATCTTTAGGATCTCAAATTCATTATCTCCTCTTCCTCTGACTTCACTGTATTTTAGACCCCCTCTCCCTTCACCTACATACTATTTGGTCTTCTTGTCGCCTAACACCCCTCCAATCCTTCTCTACTTCTAAAGCACAATCTGATTGGATTATCCCTTGATTCCTTTAAGGTAAAGTCCAAAATCCCTGGAACAACATCCAAGAACTCTGATGATCATTTTATTCCTGCCTACCTTGCCAGTCTCATCTTTTTATTTTTTATTTGTAGAGACAGGGTCTCACTCTGTCACCCAGGCTGGAGTGCAGTGGTGCAATCATAGATCACTGAAGCCTCTGACTGCTGGGCTCAAGTGATCCTCATGCCTCAGCCTCCTGAATAGCTGGGATTTCAGGCATCACCACACCCAGCTCCAGCCTCAATTTTTACTACTTTCCAAGAAGTCCCCTAAACTCCATCCATACTGAACAACTTGCAGTTTTGTGAGGTCCCAAATGCTCTCCTGCTTCTAAACCTTTATACCTAATACTCCAATGCCTCCCAGCAAAGCCTGCCTTCATTTCTTCAAAGGTTAAGTCCAACTAATTCAACTCTGTGTCACCTCTTCCAGGAAGCCTTCCTTGAGTGATGTCTAATACTCACCCACCTGCAACTTAGGATTAGGTTTACAGCCTCTGTGCTCACACAGTAGCTTTTGCATAACTTTTTCTCAGGCTTTTTGATGATATTCGGTAATTGTGCACTTCCATCTGTGTCTCTTCCATAAGACTGTAAGTTCCTTAAAGGAAGAGACGGTGTCTTTCTTCTACTTATATTCACGGTACCTGCGATTCAAAAAAGGCTTTTTGGATACCTTGTCCTGGAACACCCAGCCAGGAATTAATGAGATAAAAAGAAAACTGAAAATCTCCAGAACCAGAATATATTCCTTTCCCTCTAACACACCTTTGAAAATGAGAAGGAAAAGATAAGGGTATGTTTTTTCCCATTGTTTTGCTGGAGCTCGGAAGCCTCTTCTTTCTCTTGCTTGAGATTGCTCAAGGAGGTTGTTCTTTATGTGCATTTACAGAGTGGTTGGTCTTTCATGCCCTGCACAGTGCTAGCCCAGGGCTCCACAATCCAGTTCAGCACAAAGCGCTAGCTATGACCTCACAAAGGTTTTGTAAATATTTTAACTACGAAAAAAAGGTCTCTTCCCTCAAAGAATCTAAGATCCTGAAGGCTTGTTGGGATGGAGTCACATATCTCCTTGGCCTAGGATCCTAAGGTGCCCCTCGATCTGGTGTTAATGCGCTTGTGTAATCTCCTGCCCTTTAGTGTCGGCTGTTCTAGTGACTCTCTAACCAACAGAATATAGCAAAGATGGTGGATGTCTTTCCAGCAGACTATCTCTTGCTGGCTTTGAGGAGGCAAGTTCCAATGTTGAGAAGGCCCACATAACCAGGAACTGAAGGTGGCCTCCAAAGCAGTTAGGAACTGAGGCCCTCAGTCCAAAAGCCCTCAACAAACTGGATTATGCGGCAACCATGGGAGCATGGAAGTGGATCTTTCCCGGTTGAGCTTTCAGATGAGATCCCTGTCCTGGCTAACAACCGATTGCAGCCTTGTAATAGACCCTGAAGCACAGGACCCACCTAAGCCATACAAAATTTGAGATAATAAATGTTTGTTGTTTTACTTGTGGCAATTTGTTATGCAACAACAAATAATTCATACAATCTCCTTTATCCTGATTGACAGTCTAGCACCTGTAAAAAAGAAAAAAAAAACTTTTGTTTTTCAGCAGTTACATAGGAAGCCAGCATCATGTAAACGTTTAACTAAAAATGAAATAGCCTCTAAAAACAGGCTTGTAAATCATTTTCGTATTCTAAAAGCTAAGGCTAAAAGAATCACACATGACAGTGTGTAAAATGAAGTGGGGGGGAATGGAAACAAAGTTAAAACTTGTAAAGGGGCCCTGGAGAAAATCTGCAGGCTCCATTGGTTTATTTAACTTTTAAATCTTACTAAATTTGCTAGATGTGTGTTAGCATTCATGGTTCATTTACTTTTATTCTGACTTCTATAAATAGGTACTCTATGAGCCCTGATAAATGATTTAAAATCTTGCTTGACTTCAATAAAAAAATTAGCAAGTTAATCTTAAAAATTCTACACACAGAAATGAATGAAAACCTTCCTCTGGGCCAACCTCCACCCCCTGCAAGTGCACCTCCCCCAGTCCCTGGACTCTTCTTGCCATCCTTGTTCTTTTTCTCTGGCTCTGTGTTTATAATATCTGGCATTCTCCCAAATCACCTAGCTCTGGTTCTCTTGTAAAAACAAACAGAAGCTACCTGGGGCTCTTTATTCTCGCTCATTTACATTCTTTCTCTGCCAAGGGGTCAGGGATGTCAGAGTTGGTGGCAACCAGTCAAGCCCAGCATGGAATGGCCCTTATCTACCAATGCAGTGTTTTCCTGCCTGTGAACACGCCGGCATTTATTTATCTAAAATTGTAAGTAAAAATGTAGGTAACTGCCACAAATCAGAGACTAATGAATCTAAAAGTTCAGCCCAGAGCTATGACAAAAAGTAGACAAAAGCCTTATACAAAGCTCACATTTAATAAAAAAGGCAGGCAGTGGGTGAAAGGTGGAGATATAATCTATATGACCCATAAAATATATGGAAAACAAAAGCAAATGTGAAATTCCATGTGGTTTAATCATACAGAATGCAAGTTTGAATAATTAGCCACCCACACTGAAGCACAGCTTCCTTGTAAGTCATTAGTTGATGTGAGCTGAGAGTAATGTCGGTGTCATGTGTTCCACTAGTTGCACACATACGGTTATAAGATCTATCAGAATGTTCAACAGCTCTCCTCTCTGCCCTGATAGCCAGGGTTAGTCATCTAAATTGGTGTGTCCATTAACAGCATTTTTGAACTCCCAAGATTAAAATTGGTTGTTGAGGAACAAAAACATCAGATATCATAGTTTGTGGTCCTCCAAGGCTCAACCCTACCTGTCAAAATTTTATTCCTTAATATTTAATTTCTCTTCACTTCTCAGCCTTTTGGCTAAGATCAAGTGTAGTAGCTGTTCTTATCAGTTTAATATTTAATTTTTCTCATTAGGAAGAATGTAAATTAAATTAAATTTTTTTCCTAGGGAAGGAGGAGCAATAATAAAAATAAACGTTGAGAAACACAGCTGTAAATATGTAGAATTCTAAATGAGCACACAGAGAAGAAAATAAGCGTAAGAAATGCAGACACTGAAAAAAAAATCCTTAATAACAATCCAATAACCAGATCCATTTGTGCATTAAAAAAGCAGCAGAACTAGCGAAAGCCAAAGACAGGTTCTGACACAACACTGGAAACTCTGAACTTGAAATCAGAAGACCTACATTGATTCAGTTCCTAACATGTGATTATAAGTTGCACAACCTTAGAGAAAAGCTACTTATTTGGGTTCCTTTTCCTTTCTCTGTAAAAATAGAATGGAAATGTCTAATTCCAAGGTCCCTGCAATAGTTAAATGAGATAGTATTCATGAGGTGCTTTGCCAACAAGATGATGTGGTTCAGTTGAAAGGTAACATCATCCAGCAGAATTATCTGAACATTGGAGAGCTTTGCATGGGCAAAAGATTATATTAATAAGCCTAGAAGTGACACTACTGTGAATTAGTGGTTCAAGAGTGTTAGAGTGATGAAGGGGCTGTTCATTAGGAATAGTATGTCCTGTGTAGCAAAACACACCAATGACCTAAAGTGACTGATCTATTTTAAGGGGATAGTGAGAGAGATTCAAACCACTAAGAGATAGTGAGAGAATGCTTTTCTCCTATCAACTAAACCAGTGGTTTCAGCTTCAAATCACCTGGGGTGATTTTGAAAACTTCTGAAAAATGTCTGAACCTAGAAGATTGTGAGTACTCCAGAGATGCTACAGAGTAAGTGAACAATGACAAAGTTGCCGTGAGATATGCATTCTCATACACTACTGGTGGGAGTGTTAATTAGTACAGCCTTTAGGGAATACAATCTATTAATATGTATCTTTTTCTTGTTTGGTTTGATTTTAATGTTTTAAGTTGGTACCCTTCCTGGAGTAATTCTATGTCTAAGAATTCATCCCAGGGAAACAATGAGAGAGGAACAAAAATGTATCCAAAAGGATGCCCCTCAAAGTATCATTTTATGTCTGTATGTTGCACCAATCAGGATAGCTTGACTTTGAACATGCAAAAAAAAAAAAAAAAATTGTACTCTGTAAATCCATGTCATGGGCGGGAATATCTGACAAGTAAACAAAAGAAACAATAAATCAAAACAAGATGCTGTAAAAAGTCAGGTGTCATCTCAGCCAAAACTCATTAATTTTTCAAAAAGTTGAGAATTTGCCAATGAATTCAGGTCTGGTCAGGTCAGGCCTTCCATCATCCTGGTGATTTCAACTAACCTCAAAATCAAACAGCAGACAATTAGCAATTAAAGCATCTTAAAGGAATAAGTAACATTGCAGGCTAAGGCAGGACAGGGAAAAAGAGAATCAAATGTATTTCACTGGCTTTCTTTTTAAATTCCCTATCTTCTTGAGTCAGGACTCCCCAGGATTTGCAACTCAACACTGGCCTAAGATTCTCCACCACAAATGACTTTGCATTCTCAAGAGATTAACTGTTCACTCAAAGCCCTTCTGAAAAGCTGCTGAAATCATTGCAAATCTTCTATAAGTCGTACCTTCCTATGGGCTACAAGATAAAAATACTAGCTAAGGAGTGAGATAAGAAAGGCTCATTTTTTTAAAAGTAGGAAAGAAAATAAAGTTCTATGAAGGAGACTAAATTCTGAGCTTTCAGATTTTTAGTGTCAACAACCCAAAATATAAGAATGAGAACTAGGAGGGCAAAAGAGCATTTTTATCAAATGCATTTACCAAATATTATTAAGCCCCTACTCACCAAATGAATCAGACCAGCCAGGTAATCCTGGTATGAGGAAATCTGCAAAAGATCTACATCAACCAAATATATACTTATAAATAGCATATGTGTAGTGCCTGCTGTTTCTCAAAGCACTTTCCCATGTGATTTATCATTCAGTCTTCATATTAACCCCATAAGGTAAGCAGAAAAGGAATGATTTAACAAAGACAGGCACACAGATCTAGGTTAGCTGACTTGCCCACATTTACAGAGCCAACTGATTACTGAAGGCATCAATATTCAAATCTAGCTCTTCCAATTTTCTTCACGACATATCACACTAGGACAGCACACATAAATTGCATATATGTGACATGAGAACATGACTAAGCAGGATACAGCGCTGTGGCCACAGACCTGGGAGCCAGACTGCTCACTTCCAAGTCCCAGTGCCATCACATATTGGGTAGTGTGATTGGGGGAAAATTATTAAAACACTTTGTGCATCAGTTTTCTCATCTGCCAAATAGGGATAATAATGGTGCCATACAGTGATTATGAAGATCAAGTATAAATGTTGACCACAGTGACTGGCACACAGCAAAAGGTTCAATAAATGTTAGCTTTGATCATCATGGGCATCGAGAACAATTCTCTTGATTAGTCAAGGTCAGATGCAAATACACTAAGCCCAACTGCATGTTACATGTAAGTGCTGTTGATGGGGTTCAGAACATACTAACCCAAAATATGGCACCTTGGCATAGTGAAACTTTAAGGCTAAAGGAATGTGAGAAAAATTCCTTCAGTAGCAGGACGGTCTCTCTGACCTGCCCCCATACTTCTCCGCTGAAGCTGGTCAAAAAACTTAAGAAGGACTTTCTAACTTTCCCTTGAAGCAGATCATTGACCCTCATCTAAGAGGTGCTTCCCTATACCAGGACAAAAGGAACATCCTTGTCGCTAAAGATGAAGCGCCACTGTTTTGAGTTGAAAGTATCCCCCAAATTGCACGTGTTGAAAACTTAATCTCCCATGCAACAGTGTTGAGAGGTGGGATCTTTAAGAGGTGACTCGGAATGGATTAATGTCATTATCTTGGGAGTGGGTTATTTATCATAAGAGTACGTTCCTAAGAAAATAATGAGTTCTAGCCCCCTTCACTTCTCACCCTCTCATATGCACTCTCCTTCCCTTCTACCTTCTGCCATGGGATGATGTAGCAAAAAGGCCCCCAGCAGATGCCAGATCCTTGATATTTAACTTCTCAGACTCTGGAACCATGAAACAAGTAAACTTATATTGTTTATAAGTTGCCTAGTCTCAGCCATTCTGTTGTAGCAGCACAAAATGGATTAAGACAGTCATGGGCAGAATCTGAACAAACAGACCTTTCTAAGTTCTCCTCAATTTATTCCTATTACATTATACCCTTTTTATCCCATCATATTTCTCCACAACTATCCACTCGTTATCAAACCTAGCCTAAAAATACTCAGGTTTACCCATTTCTGTGGGTCTCAATTTCCTTATGAAGGCTCCCATGTCACATAAAAATTTATTAAATAAATTTGTATGCTTTTCTCTTGTTAATCTGTTTTTTGTCATAGAGGCCTCATCCATAAACCTACAATGGGTAGAGAAAAAAATATTTTTCCTCTCCTCCACTGTATTAGTTTCCTATTGCTGCTGTAACAAATTACCACAAAATTAGTAGCTCGAAACTTACACAAATGTGTTATCTCAAAGTTCTGAAGGTCAGAAGTCCAATATGGGTCTTACTGGGCTAAAATCAAGCATCTGCACAGTTTCATTCCTTATGGAGGCTCTAAGGGAGAATGAGCTTCCTTGCCTTTTCCAGAGGCTACATGCACTCCTTGGCTCATGGTGCCTTCCTTTACCTTCAAAGCACATCATTGCAACCTCTGCTTCTTCTGACTATCCCCTCTCTATGCCTGCTTCTCTCATCACATCATCTTCTCTGCCCCAACCCTCCTGCCTTTCTCCACCATGATAATAAGATAATAGCCCCATCTCAGGATCCTTAATTAACCACATCTAAGAAATCCCTTTTACCATGTAAGGTAACATACTGACAGGTTCCAAGGATTAGAAGATGCAAATCTACAGGGGACCATTATTCAATTTACCACAGGTACCAAGGATATAAAAATGAATTTGATACAACTGCTGAGCTCAAGGACTTCATAAACTATTGAATAAAACAGACATATTCAAAAAGAAAATTAATTCTCATGCACATCAGACTACAGCACTCAGTATGGTTAGAGAAGAAACAAAGTGCTCTGTGGGTAACAGAGGATCCATCTGTTTATCTCGACCAAGAAAGGAAAGGAGGACTCAAAGAAAGTGATGTGTATTTAAGAGACCAGAATACGCCATCCCAAAGTATGCCTCTTTGGCATAAAGATTATTTCAAGCTGATTATTTTGAACACTGAAAATACAGGAGAAGCTCTAAAAGCAGAGTAGAAGTTACCCTTTTGTAGGAAAATTTACATCTATAAAGGAAATCTCTATTTGTAACTGTGTCACCCTCTCTGCATCAGGAAAGATGACTCTAAATCACTAGAGACTTGTATTAATGGAGAAGGCACTGACTTAAATCTATATAAGGAATCTTACCCTTGTGTCTCACGCTTTTCCTGGTTACCTCCCATAACTGTATCCCCCAACAGCTTTCTTTGTTCTAGCTGAAGATGATATTTAAGCCTGAATTCAAATCTACCCTTTCGAGATTTACTCATTTATCTGGGTATCTCCCATGTATATTTGAAATATACATGTTAATAAACTTGTTTTTCTCATCTTAATCTGTCTTTTGTTACAGGGGTCCACCCCAACTAAGAACTATAAAGAACAGAGGAAAACAACTTTTCTTTTCCTACGCATGCATAGAATTGAGCACTGATGTGTGCTCAAACTGAGGTGATGAAGGGTGTCCCAGGAAAGTACATTGAAAAATTAGGAACATTGAATGGGCTGGTGTGATCAGAGTCTGGCAGATAAAGGGAGTAGAAAAATGATCAGAAGAAAATGTTGAAAAGGGACATCAAAGCTATATTGTGAAAGGCTACAGCTAGAGAAAAGGACTTTTCAATAGAATGAAAGGCCACTGAAGGCTACTGAACCCATCATTGAGATTTATATTTCAAAAAGAAAACTCCAGAGGCAGTGGAGACAGTGGACTGCAGAAGGCAGAACCCAATTTAAAAGCTACTTCAATAGTCCAGAGGGAAAAAAAAAAAAACAAGTAAAGACTAAATTAAGGAAGTAATATAGGAAATAGAAGCAAAGATAGATGTGAGAGACATTTCCAAAGTGATACCAACAGGACTCGATGACTAGCTGAATACTGTATAAGATGGAGACAAAATTGATGCTGAAATGACTAGCTCAAGTGCATGGTAGATGTTGATGCCACTGAGGTGTCAGAGGCATTTGAACCACAGCAACTCCATCTTGAATAGGGGCTGGGAAAAATAAGGCTGAGACCTACTGAGCTGCATTCCCAGGAGATTAAGGCATTCTTAGTCACAGGATGAGATAGGAGGCTGGTACAAAATACAGGTCACAAAGCCCCTGCTGATAAACAAGTTGTGGTAAAGAAGCTAGCCAAAACCCACCAAAGCCAAGATGGTGACAAAAGTGACCTCCAGTCGTCCTCACTGCTCATTATACACTAATTATAATGTATTAGCATGCTAAAAGACACTTCCAACAGCACCATGACAGTTTACAAATGCCATAGCAACATCAGGAAGTTACTTTATATGGTCTAAAATGGGCAGGAACTCTCAGTTCCAGGAATTGCCTACCTCTTTCCCAGAAAACTCATGAATAATCCACCTCTTGTTTAGCATATAATCAAGAAGTAACTGTAAGTATACTCAGGTGAGCAGCCCATGCCGCTGCTCTGCCTATGGAACAGCCATTCTTTTGTTTATTTTCTTCCTTAATAAACTTACTTTCACTTTACAATATGAACTTACCACAAATTCTTTCCTGCACGAGGTCCAGGAACCCTCTCTTGGGGTCTGGATTGGGATCCCTTTCTAGTAATAGAGGGATACAAAAAGTAGAGAAAGAGGAAGAAGTTCATGAAGGGCTATGTTTTAGATATGCTGATTAGAACCTTTCATGGAGTTAACTCTAAGAAAAAGAAAAAACAGGAAGAAATGCCATCTACATGTCTGAGAGACATGAAGGAATTAAAGGACCTGGCTTCTGGTCCTTTTCTGTAATTTAATAGCCTTGTGATGTCAAGTCACTCAAGTGATGTCAAGTCAGGGCCTTGGTTTCACCAACTGTGAAGCAGAAGGCTGGGATACGAGACAATCATTAAATTCCCTTCTAATGTTTATATGTGTCTAATATCTGAGACACTATTTTCTCCTCAGTTTCAAACATTTTTCTCAGCCACTCTTGACATTAGCCACTAACAGAAAATCCAGTGGCTCCTAAATTTCAACTAAAGAGCTGAAGTTTAAAAGGAGAAGCTAAAGACACTAGCAATCATTGTGTGCCTACTGTGTGCCAGGCACTCGGCCTGCCATACTCTCCTCCAGCTGCTTCTCCCATTAGCCTGGACACCCCCATAGGAATCTCAGAAAAGCTCTGAGTCATGAAAATCAAAGACATGCATGGAAATCAAAGATGTGCAGTCATGGAAATCAAAGACAGACATATATAATGTTAATTTTTTTTCCATTTCTGTTTTATGTTCCATTCCCAAACACTCCTTTAAAATATGTTTGTGCCAACAGCACAACAAATGAGTTTTTTTAAAATTTGATACTGAAAAATTACATAGAGGATCATGGGAGCATAGAGATGGAGGACGTAAGTATATTTTTCAATTGTTTTATTTAAAGAATAATAAATTGAGATAGTACTTTAATGGGGTCACTGATATTAAGGACTCCACTTAAAACTCAGTGGTTTCCACTGCCCATAGCAATAATTCTCAATGGAGAGGACACAAGGACTTATCACAATCACCTTGTGGGTTTTTAAAATTATTAATGTGCCCCTGTCCTCCACCCAACAAGATTCTGGTACTTCCCCAAGTTGACAATCACAGGAATATTCATCCTCCTCTTAAATTTAATACTGTAAACCAAAAACGTTGGAAAACTACTAATATCTAGAATAAAATTCAAATTCTAGTCAAATATATATATATATTTAGAAAATATATATATTTGCATATTCATCTCTGATTAGGGTCTATCCCACCTTTTTTGTGTCCCACTTCTAGATACTCACTCCCTTACACATTGACTCTAAATTTAAACAAACAACTTCCCCCAATTGCCCATGCCGCTTTATGCTCTAGGACTTGATTCACATTCTTTTGGCCTTCTTTCTGGCCCTCTCTGGGCACACCCAGTTAGCATAAGTGGCTTACTTCAAGTGTTATCTTCTAGTTAAAGCAATCCCTGAATGCAACCAGCCAGTCCCTATCTTTGTGTCCCCATTGTACTTTACGTCATGATTTCTCTAACTCTTTATTAAAGACTTGTTACTTGTCTATACGTCCCTAGTATGTTTTAGGTTCCCAGAGGTAGAGTAATCGATGTTTGCTGACTGAGTGAATGAATATGATAATATAATAGGAAGAAACAGCAAGTATATTATTTGGTCTCTTTAAGGCAAGGATATCTTCAAAATCCATTTATAGGTCCAGAAAACATTATTTTGTTTATTCACTATTAACAATTAAAGGTAAGAACTTCTAAAGGTAGTACTATTTTTGAAATATAATGTATTTCAGCCGGGCGCAGTGGCTCATGCCTGTAATCCCAGCACTCTGGGAGGCCGAAGCGGGCGGATCACCTGAGGTCAGGAGATCAAGACCAGCCTGGACAACATGGTAAAACCCTATCTCTACTAAAAATCCAAGAATTAGCCAGGCATGGTGGCACACGCTTGTAATCCCAGCTACTCAGGAGGCTGAGGCAGAAGAATCGCTTGAACCTGGAAGGTGGAGGTTGAAATGAGCCGAAATTGTGCCACTGCACTCCAGCCTGGGCAACAGAGTGAGGTTCTGTCTTAAAAAAAAAAAAAAAAAAGCAAAGAAAAGAAAGAAAGAAATGTATTTCATGATTTAGAGAGCACAGAATGAACCAGGCACACAAAATGGTCACTGAAAATTAATTGAATAAAATGTTTTAAAATTGTATTTATTCTACCATCATGTCAAAAACAAAGAGCAGAAATTGAACTATCACCACCTTAAAGTTCATGCTGTAGTGAGATTATAATTTGTAATACTAAAACAGTGGGACATTTATTTTTATTTCATCTGTGCTGAAACAGGTACAGTTTTAGCCTTTGGGGATATATTTATGGCCATATCAGTCAACAGGCCCAGAGAAACAGCTCTCAGGGAATATGATCATTACTGATTGCAAAAATAAAGTAACCATGTTAACATGTGCCAGGTGAGATTGTTATTGATGTGCACAACTATTAAATGGAACCCTGGAAAAAAGTGTCAGGAGACTATGTGTCCAAATCCTCCCTCAATCCTAAAAGACAATGCCTTTTCCTGCAAAAAGTGCTTGCTCAGTGTCAATCATAATGCAAACAAATCACACTGTGACACAGACACTTGAAGTTAAAGCTCATAAAGCTCTCTTCAGTAGAAGAAAAATCTAATTCAATGGTTAAATGCCAATCAGGGTAGATAACTAAGTAGGAGCCAAAAATACAAGGCTTAAAATTCTACTGCAACTCCTCTGGAAATGCATTATTACTGAATGGCTGTCAGAATTAGAACATTAAGTGAGTTAGCACCATTAACTTGGGGAAAAAACACAGAATGGCTCCTATTTAAGCAAATACAAAGAATCCCAGTAAATTTTTGAAGAGTTGCATGTTAAAATGGTTTGGAAAACTTTCTCAGCCTAAAAGTACATACAAGTGAATTTGGATAATGAAAACAAATCAGTAAACAAAGAAAAATCAAAATTGCTTTATCTACAACTATTACACATATGTTATACATACATAAAGAATCAAATATCTCCTACAGTAGACAAGAATATTTGGACTCCACTGATCCACTCATCCTGAAAAAACATTTAGCCTTTAAGAAAAGGGCATTATTTCCTTGGCCAAGCAGATTGTGAGCTTCACCATTTAACCTTTCCATCTGCCTTCTCCTGAGTTGCCACTTCCTCCTGCATGCCAAAAAGTAAATGAGGGGTACTGGGCTCAGGGGAAAGGATCAGAAGAGATCTGCTCTAAATCACCAACCCAGAAATTCTCCTCCTGTCTACAATATGTCTTGCCCCAAGTTCTTTACCAAATCATTAAAAGAAATGGCACTCAGGCTAGAGGTAATGGGGAAAAAGAAGACATCCAGAAGAGGCCAGTAGCCATACTTGGGAAGACTGAGGTGATGTGTCCATGTAGGGAAGGAAAACATCTCGTGTGTTTGAAGCTTCTCCAGCCCACAGTGATTTTTCTTTTACTAATACATAGAAAAGGGGTCACCAATGACAACTTTGTACAATGTGGTCCTACCTCCTGCCAAAACTTATTGGTCCATGTTGATATCTGTCCCAAGATAGGCCAATGAGCTTTCTTCCCTAGGATTGTTGAGTCTGGTACTGGAGAAAGCATGAGTCAGTCCTAAACGCTGGCATAAACTATGAGATGTGTACATTTCAGCAGCATCTGAGGACATCACTCCCACCTTGTTTGCATACTTGTTTTGCATTAAGAAAGAATGAAATCAGTAAGGTAATAGGAAAAAAAAAAAAAAGTGGGAAAAGAGTATTAAATGCTCTCAAGTCCCTGCTATTGCCCTGTTCTTCCAGCATTTTGACTATTTAACTCTTCTTTCAATTTATTTTACACTTAATAACATAACAGAGGGGTGGCACAGTTCATCGCCATAAAAATTTACTGTTAGGCAAGCACACAGACCCAGAGTGCAAAGGCCAATCCTCACAGAGTCCACAGAGAGTAAGTCAAGTGAAAGAGAAAGACACATTCTGGCCCATACATGAGATTAATGTTCCTAAGTTAATTTGAGCCAGGTATTTGCTGCTTACAAACAAGATTCTACATACTTGATAAGAAAAATAAAAAGATTTTATTCCTGGGTACCTTTGAACGTAATAGGAGAGTTAAGGGGATGACTAGTTTGAGAAATAAAGACCTCCATGACATTTGGCCATCTGAGTATACACAAGTCCCTTGTCTTGCTGACCACTAGGTTCCTTGGGAGCTGATTACTCATATATGTGGATATATGTGCATATATATGTATGTAGGTTTATGACTATCGGGTCTTAAAGCCAACATCTCCTCTCTGATTCAATGCAATCTCAAGATAACATAAGATTATTTTGGAAGGGTATCAAAAACAATTTTGAAGTCCTCAAAGAAGTTCTGAAAGTTTCTAATTTTCGAAAAGTGTATGCAAGACTCTGACAAAGTATTTAAAATGCTAATGTTTATGAGATAAGATTAATTGAAGACCATGTCTCATGCAGCTGATTAGAACTGACAACTGAGGCTGATTTAATTCCAATCATATCAGTGTAAACTATGCATTTTAGCAAAAGGTGATGTTACCAAAAAGATGTATTCTTCTACTGACACTAGCAAGTTTTGGTATTTAGAAATATAATGCTGAGACTGATGGTAGTTCTCTTGGGCACATCTTGATACACAACTCTATGAGCCTGCAATATTAAAAACACTCCAGACTAACATTTAATGTAACTTTGAAAAGATTAAGCCATTTACCAGGAACAGTTTTATCCCATAGGAAAAATATAATTAATTAAACAACTTTTAATTAAATAAATTCTAGTTTTCTCTATTTGAGTGTCTAGTGGCTACTTCATAACACCACAAGTGCTCTATGCTCATAAGTCTATGGTTCCTCAAACTCTTAAATGCCCCAATTCTCAGGGCTCACGAGCTTTCAAGGCAAACAAATCTGCACATTGTGAGTGAGTACAGGAGGCACAATTTTTGGCTAGCCCTACCATTACGTAAGCCAATATCGCCAAGGTTAGCTGCTTCTTCAAATTTTGCAGGTCATTAATATTCTTGAACTTCTATTCAAGCTTGAAGCATGTCGGCTTTTTCACAATGTATAAGGTTAATTGCATTCCAAGCCCCCTTATGCTGTACAGTGAAAAGAAAAGGTGAGCAGGTGGTTGATGGACTCGTCTCATGGTTTTCCAACAACACAGGTGCATTCCTTAATACAAATTAAATAATGGGGCCATAGAAAGCTGCTGTAGCTTGGTCTAATCTCTTATTCCTTCATGTGTTGATGCTCTGTGCCTCTGTTTTGAATGGTTTGCCTTTTAAAATGCTATAGGAGGCCAGGTGCGGTGGTTCATGCCTGTAATGCCAGCACTTTGGGAGGCTGAGGTGGGCAGATCACGAGGTCAGGAGTTTGAGACCAGCCTGGCCAACATGGTAAAACCCCGTCTCTACTAAAAATACAAAAATTAGCCGGGTGTGGTGGCATGCACCTGTAATCCCAGCTACTCAGGAGGCTGAGGCAGGAGAATTGCTTCAACTCAGGAGACAGAAGTTGCCGTGAGCTGAGATCGTGACACTGCACTCCAGCCTGGGTCACAGAGCAAGACTCCATCTTGGAGGGAAAAAAATGGCTATAGGAAGGAAGCCACCAAAATGGCCTGAACTAACAGGGGCAGCCTCTACAGCCACCATCATCACTGCTCCCACCTCTCATGCCTTATCCACCAGTACAACCCAATGCGGGAGGAAGGACAGGTGAATCTGGGAGGAGACAAACACAGGATCTTCTGTTTGTATCTTTCTGACACCAGACCCTATCACTAGTTATATGTTCTCATGCCAGACTTCACACACTGCTAAATTCACACTCAGTTTTCTGAGTGAAGTTTCAGCCCCTGAATGGAAGGCAGAACCACCCTTTTGTGGCTCCTCATTAACAAGTGATCTTTGTTACAGGCCCACTGTTTCCACCATCATCTCTCTGGTGCCAGAAAGATTTGATTTAATTTACAAGCTGGAGAGTCAGAGAAAAGAGCCTTAAAAAGGTTTCAAGGTGGAATTTTTTTTTTTAATGAGCACATTTATGTTGTTATGAGCCAAGTTCAAAATTCAAGTCACATATGAACAAATTTTATAGGGGGAGGAGTAACCTGATGTTCAAATTCATTTGCCTTCCATTTTCAAGTAATTCATCTTTAAAATTTCTGTGAAAATTCTAGAGTTGCCCAGAAAATGACACCGACCATCTGTAAGTAAAAACAAAAGCTCTCCATAGTATATATCACAGGTTCAAAGCACTTTGGCATCGGCAGATTGAACACGTTATTAAAGGAATTTAACTGCAAGAAGAGCTACCATAATTACACAGCAGCTGGTCTAATGTTGACAAAACAACTTTTAAAGGCTTGCAGAAGCCTTAAAGGCTAATCAATTAAAAAGGCATGAATAGTAATGTGCATCATCCTATCCTTAACACTCCGAGTTGCATCTCCTACAAATACAGTGAGGTTTTCGTTTTGGAACCATCATTTCTTACATCCTACAATTAAGCAGAATATATAAATAAATTCTAAGTTGTCTCTAGGTGAGACAATTATACTTAAAATAAAATAACTCTGTAAAACTCAATGATAAACATTGAACTTCACGAGCATTTTCACTCTGGCAAAGTTAGTAACAAAATGCCAACAGCTCATGCCAGAATTTGTGCTTACTTTACCAAGAGCAGGCCAAGAAGTGTTTGTAGATGACTACATTGGCCTGCAATATGCTGGAGTCACAATGCATGAATGAATGCATGGATGCTGGAATGAGTCTGTACACTGCATTCAAGGACCAGAGATGCAGTCCTCTTGAGATCTGCTCAAGTGTTCCATGTGGACAGGCCTCCTCTGCCAGGACCAGCAAGCGTTTTCTTTTAAGGCCCAACCGAAAGTTCACATCTTGCAAGAAACCTTCTTCAGACTTCCCACAAGGCTTTTGTCTTCTTTTCTGAATCCCTTACAACCAGAAAATTAAAAAGGATTTTACATATCTCTAAATCCAATCCTATGTAGGGCCCAGCAAACTTTTTCTATAAAGGGCCAGATAACAAATATTTTAGGCTTTGAGGGACAAGTGATCTCTGTCCCAATTACACACTTTTACCATTGTAGTGCAAAACCAACCATGCAGGATACGTACACAAATGGGCAATGGCTGAGTTCTAACAAAACTTCATTTACAAAAGGAGGTAGCCACCCAGATTTGACTGACCCCTGCTCTACCAGTATGAATCCCCTTTCCCAGCCAGTAGGCAAGGTCTCTTTGTGAACACCTCCGATGAAGGGGGATAACCTCCTCACAGCAGCCTGTTGTGTTTTCTGAAGCTCTCCCTTCTATTCACTGGAATGAACTTCCCTGTAACTTGCAGCCACTGTCACATCTCCATATCCTGAACATGCTGTCCTCTCCTAAATCATTCTCTCTCCCCAGAGTACTCTACATAAATAGGCCTTCAAAAATCATTTTTTTAATTAAAAAGAAATACCACCAGTTTTGCCTTCCGGAGCCCCAGAGAGTAAGTCTAACACCTCTTCCACCTGCCAGCCCTTTATGCATTTGAAGACAACTATCGGATATGGCAGTTACTGTCTGCACCACTCATTGGGGATCTACCTTATAGCATTTTTTATCGTTAGTTTTCTTCTTCCATGTACACATTTTTTTCCTCCTCATTTAGATGGCAAGTGAAGCATGGTCCCTGGCACATAAGCTCCATTTAGTTTTACAAGTGAGAGTGGCAGAATGTCCACAGAAATATCAACCAACAAATCTTTTTAAACACCTTTCTCAGCAAATTCAACTGGGACAGCTTCTGATACTGGCGCAGGGCAGGGGCAGCTCACCACAGCAGCAGTAAGACTGTGGCCAACTTCTTCAGTGTAAAAACTGACCACCGAGAGACAAAAGACCTCCTTTATCCTGCACCACCTACCATGCTCCCGGAGTGTGATTTTAACCAGGACTTCCATAACAGCAACATCCTTCTGGAGAATCCTGGGGTGGGGCCCAGCGCCTGTCTTTGTCACACACTCAGCCCTTCCTTGGCTTACAGTGACCCAATCTTCATCATTTTTATGTCCTGTGCTATCTATGCCTTTCTTTAATAACCCCCTTCCTGGAACAATACATACACATTTTGTATTTACGTGAAGGTGCATGGTAGACCTTCAATAATCCACTTTTAAATTTTTAAAATAATAATCTAGAGAATATTCCTTATGAACACGCAATCTTCCTCCAGGTATGAAATTTGGTTCTTCACAGAATTCTCACTTTCAAGACACCAGCAAGATCAGTATGTACTAATGCTGCCTCTAACATCTACGGCCCAGGATAATTCTCAGTCAGTAATAAAATACTCAAATAGGCTTGTTTTCTTTCTTTTTTTTTTTTTTTTTTTTTTTAGATGGAGTCTCACTCTGTCACCCAGGCTGGAGTGCAGTGGCATGATCTCAGCTCAATGCAACCTCCACCTCCCAGGTTCAAGGGATTCTCATGCCTCAGCCTCCCGAGTAGCTGGGATTGCAGGTGTGCACCACCACACCCATTTAATTTTTGTATTTTTATTAGACGCAGGGTTTCACCATGTTGGCCAAGTTGGTCTCGAACTTCTGGCTTCAAGTGATCCACCTGTACGGTCTCCCAAAGTGCTGGGATTACAGGCGTGAGCCACCATACCCAGCCTAGGCTATTTTTTAAAATATCTCTGTGAGAAAAAGGTCTTTAAGACCATAAAAATGACCTCACCTCATCTAATGTCATTCTGCTTTTCCTTATTCCTTCTCCCCACTTCTGGGAAGGACAAGAGGGAGGCATTTCAAAAAGTCCTGTATACCGTCCAGTTCCTGGAAATAAGCAGGGGTGCCATGTCCCTGTGTGAAAGATCTGCCTGTGGACACTCACCAGGATGGCAGAAAGGCCCCGGCAAGGGTAGTGTGGGCATCTGTCCACTCTGTGCTCCAGAAAGCCCAAGATGAATTGTTAGCTTTGGCTGGGCAGTCACTATTTTATTTACAGAATAAAAACAAGTGCACAGGAGACACTAACTACATGTGGCTACTTGCATTTAATTAAAATGAAATCAACTTAAAATTCGTTCCTCAACTGTACTAACCACACTTCAAGTACTCAGTAGCCAGTATGGGTAGCATCTACCCACGTATTGGAAAGTACATACATAGAATATTCCTGTCACCAAGAATAGGATAGAAAATTCTACTGGACAGCACTAGAGAGTCCACAGGGTTTCTTTATAAACCCCTTTGCCACTAACTGCTTACTACTCTCCAGCCAACACCTGCAGGATTCAAGGGACACAGATAAACTGTCAAGTCCTGCAGGAGTTGTACTCTGAACCTCCTTGAAACCCAAAGAACAAATGGGCATATGGAATGTCACACCTGGTTATGCCAAACAATTAACACCACATTATTTTAAAGGCATTCTTTAAGGAAAATGAACAACGAAATGTATAATTTGCTCTTACTTCAGAGAGTTCTGCCAAAGTCCTTAGCTTTTGCAACTCCATGAAAACCTTTGACAGAATAAAAACAATACCTGATTCTTACATAGATTCTAGGAAAAAGTGGGGAGAGGGGACAAAAGGCACAATGTCTCTAACCATTTGTTCTGAAGCTGGCATCCTTTGTATTCTTTTATGAGGTTCATTTTTGCTTTGTTACTTTGTATCAAAAAGGAATGCAGGGTTGTTGATTTTTTTCCTTTTTAAAAATGTAACCCCAAAGTTGCTGGGAAAGCGTTAAAATACTCATGCACCTTAGATTTATCACCAGGCAAGTAAAGTTATTCAATAATCTGCCTCTAGGTAACATAGCATATATATTTTTTTTTCAGGTTTAATGAAATTGCCATCTCTCTAAAATCTAAGAACAAGAGAAAGTTGCTAATAAATTTTAAATTTCTCATATAGTTACTTTGGAGCATGAAATTATAAGAGGAACTAAATTCAAATTCCAGGCTGCTTTTTGAAAGACAAGATGACCTCCTGATAGTCTATAAAGTCTGTGAAACATGTTTTGATAACATATGTACTTAAAATTCCCCACATGTCAGTTTCAAGTTACTACAAAATATAAGGCAGCACCAGCTGCAAGGGTAAGGAGGAAAAGCTGTTAGCAAAGTATTGGGAAATGTTAAAAAATTTAATGGGACCCAAGTCTCTTTATCATTTGCATATCATGATCCTTGGAAACAGACTGAACAAAATCTTCAAGTATTACCGCTTCCACACATGAGAAAATCCCATCATGACTTTGGTGTGTTTTCCCTTACTACCTCATATTGCACTGTGTTTAATTCTGGTAACTTTTAACCAAAATGCCCTCTCCTCATTTTCTCTAACCCTCCAAATCCTAACCACTTGCAAGGACCAGTCCAAGTCCCACACTTTTCATGAAAGTTGCTTCAGTTTTCTAGCCCACAAATTCCTACTTCTCTCTGTACCTACAGCAAATAATAATGGAGCACACAACTGCAACTTCATTGTCTTCACTCTGTCTCTGACAGACTGATCTCATCTCCTCACTCTCGAGGATTTGCTCCCCTTTTATGGCTTTTACTGAGATCATGAAGCTCCCATCATTACATCTTCAGCCCAGATGTCTCCCCTGAATTAATATTCATATTCCCAACCTCCTACTCCATTTCTCCATTTAGAAGCCTAATAGGTGTCTCAAATCTAAGGTGTGCACACCTGACATGATCCTCTTCCAAATCTGTTACTCTTCAGTCTTTGTATCTCAGTAAATGACAGCCCCACCCTTCCAGTTATCAGGTCCCAAACCTTAGAAGCATGCTTGACACTGCTTTCTCACTTATACTCCACATCCTATCCTTCTGAGATCCTCTCCTCCACTCTTTCCAAATAGACAAAGAATGCCCTTTTTCAGCATCTCCACTGCAACCACCCAGATCTAAGCCAACACCTGGACTGCTACAACAGCCTCTTATTTAGTCTCCCTCTTTCCAACCTTGCCTTCCTATATTTATTCTCACAGTAACCAGTGATCTTTAAAATCATTTAATCAGGTCATTCCTCAGTGCAGAATTTTCTAATGGCTCCCCAACTCACAAAGAAGGAAGGAAGAGAGTGGGGGAAGAATCAACATAGTGTGATAACCTCTAAGGCTTTGCATGTTGGACAGCCTGCCCTGTACATCTTTGACTTTTTACTACACTCCCCCTGGCTTGCTCTACCTGCCTTCTTGGAGGGCAAGCCAGGCATGAGGCCATCACAGCACTTTTGCATTTCTGCCTGGAGGGCTCTTCCCACAGAGGTCCTCAGGGCTCTCTCCCTTAGCTGGTCCAGGTGCTCATGTGATACCTTCACAGTGGAGTCATCCATGACAACCACAGTTAAAGGTACCAGCTGCCTCCCACCCACCCCTGTACTTCCTCTCCCCTTCCTCGCTTTAGTTTCTCCATAGCACTTACCACCGCCTAACATACTGCACATTTCTTATTTATTTCCTTATTTTCTGCCTCTATTCCTGTAGAATGTAAGCTCTACCAGGACAGGAATTTTTTGTGGTTTTTGTTCACTGCTTTATCCCTAGAGACTTTTATCCATTTCATTTATTATTGTATTTCCACCCAGAACTATGATTGGCACAAGTTGGCCCTTGGGTATTTAAAGAGAGAGACAGGGAGAGAAGCCAAGTTCCATGAGAACAGTTGCTGTGTCTTCCACTCTTTTTTTTTTTTTTTTTTTTTTTTGTATTTTTAGTAGAGTCAGGGTTTCGCAATGTTGGCCAGACTGGTCTTGAACTCCTGACCTCAGGTGATCCACCTGCCTCGGCCTCCCAAAATGCTGGGATTACAGGCTTGAGCCACCACGCCCAGCTCCACTCTATTTTTTAATATCCCTGGGTAGGGCCCAGAAAAAAAGTACTTGTTGCCTGACAGTTGCTATGCTTGCATTGGCAAATATAAAATATTAGGTCATTTAAATAGTTGGACATGTTAAATATAGACAGTGTTCATGCAATTAAAAGATGTAACTATTTTTTAAAGATTTCAAAGCTATTTAAACTTAAGCTCATAATCTCTGTTCAAGTATGAACAATTCTCAAAATCACCAATAAGAGATAGTTTCTTAAGTGCTGCCAAAAAAATGACACAAATACCCACTCAAAAAATATGAAAAAGGAATCTGTCATTTTGGGGATAAAATTACAGCAAATAAAATTTCAATCCAGACCCCAAAATAAGTAACTTGAATTCTTTTTCCTTTAGGTTGATTCTTAAAATAAACAAGCGCTTTAACAAATCAATTCCATTTTGTCAAGTGATGATGTTGGCCATGGCTTTGGTCAAATTGTTAGGGAATTGGGGAAAATAGGGGGAACGCCAGAGAGAGATGAGGAGCCTGTTCCCTGCCCAACCTAAAAAAGAATGATACGTACCATAAAATGAATGTTTGTGTCCCCCAAAATTCATACACTGAAACCCTAAACCCCAATGTGATGCGACAGTATTTGGAGATGGGACCTTTGGGAGATCATGATGGTGGGGCTCTCTTGAATAGCATTAGTGCTCTTAATGAGACATAGAAGAACTTGCTTCTCTCTCTTCTCTCTTCTTCCTCCACCTCCTCCTCCTCTTTCTCTTCTTCTTCTCTCTCTCGCCCTCTCTTCTCTCACCTTCCCCTCCAACCCCACCCCATGTAAGAATACAGTAAGAAGGCCACCATCTGCAAGTCACCAGACACCAGACCTGCCAGCACCTTGACCTCTGACTGCCAAGCTTCCAGAATTGTGAGAAAAACAACTAGTTTTTAGGCAGGGCGCAGTGGCTCACGCCTGTAATTCCAGAACTTTGGGAGGCCAAGGCGGGCGGATCATAAGGTGAAGAGATCAAGACCATCCTGGCCAACATGGTGAAACCCCGTCTCTACTAAAAATACAAAAATTAGCTGGGCGTGGTGGCACTTGCCTGTAGTCCCAGCTACTTGGGAGGCTGAGGCAGGAGAACCGCTAGAACCCGGGAGGCGGAGGTTGCAGTGAGCCGAGATCACGCCACTGCACTCCAGCCTGGGTGACAGAGCAAGACTCCGTCTCAAAAAACAAAAAACAAAACTAGTTTTTAATAACAGAGACTTACTAGTCAGTAAGTCTGAGAAGTGCCTGGAAAGCCTCAATCTTTCTACACATCTAGAGTGTTACCTATAAAACATCAACAATTATCTACAGAACAAATGCAAACTAAGTTCTTTTTCACACAAGATGACTTGAAGGTTATGTAGAAGACTTTATGGAAATCCTCCATCCATAAAATGTTTGAGCATTCCCGAGGGGAAATGCTGTAACATGCCAAAACAAACCCTACCAAGTGGTTTTATGGCACTTATGTTCAGTCCCATAAAGAGCAACTCAGTCCTACGTGAGAGGACTCAGGTCTCTCCCAAGTTCATTGAGCTGCTGCAGTACAGAACCAATTGCACAGACACATGTGTTCAGCTTTGTGAAATCTGTGTAAAAACTTTTATGTACAATAATTTTAACTTTATGCATTTTTTTAAATAGAAAAACAAACATTAAATACGAATTAACATCAAGTTTGTGAGTTACAAAAAAAAATATTTTTTAACTGTTTTTAAAAAATAGTATTAGATGCCAGGCAGTGGCTACATTACTGGAATAAAAGTGGTGACAATTATAATAAGCACTTATCATTAACAATTTATTCATTTATTCAAGAAACACTGATCAAGTAGGGAGAGTCTGCTCATCAAATATCTACTTGACATCTATTCTCTGCCAGGGCTTGAGACTAGTAAACTAAGGCATCATTTATATGTTCAGGAGAATAGTAAAGGTGGCCTCTAAAAATGGAAGAGTTTAATTCAAAAACTGGAGCACGGTGCAGTTTGGAAGCCTCACTAAGGCAACTCAAGGAGGCTACAGACCTACGAGACCTCAGAGCAAAGCTAATATTGTTAATATATCTTTTATATATTTGAGAAAAATACAGTTATCAGTTGTCTGCCAAATTTCAAAATGCAATTTGGAGTTTTAAAATATACATAATCAAATGCACACAACAAATTCCAATTTTTTAAACAAGACAAGGAAAACTAAATAGAAATATTAATGTTTCATCAGAGGTAAGCTTGAATTCAAATACCAGAAAATTTGACAAATATTCTTAAAAATTTAAATTAAGGCCGGGTGCGTTGGCTCCCACCTGTAATCCCAGCACTTTGGGAGGCCGAGGTGGGTGGATCACAATGTCAGGAGATCAAAACTGTCCTGGCTAACATGGTGAAACCCTGTCTCTACTAAAAAATACAAAAAAAAAAAAAAATAGCCAGGTGTGGTGGCAGGTGCCTGTAGTCCCAGCTACTCGGGAGGCTGAGGCCAGGGAATGGCATGAACCCAGGAGGCAGAGCTTGCAGTGACCTGAGATCGCGCCACTGCACTCCAGCCTGGGCAACAAAGCGAGGCTCCGTCTCAAAAAAAAAAAAAAAAAATTTAAATTAAGGGTGGACCATAGACAATCAAACCAAACACATAGCCTACAGTAAGATGTCTGCTATAGATTACCTGTAGGTTACCTGTAGATATTCAGATCATTTTACTTTCAGAGAATTCACGACATGCAACAATAAGTATATGAAAAATAGTCAGTGTGAATCCTTACTCTTTATTCATTCTTTTTTCAGAGATGGGGTCGGGGGGTGTCTCAGTGAGAATCCTTACTCTCTTTTTATTTTTTTTAAAGATGGAGTCTCACTGTGTTGCTCAGGCTAGAATGCAATGACTATTTACAGGTGCAGTCACAGCACACTGCAGCCCCAAACTCCTGGACTCAATCCATACTCCTGCCTCAGCCTGCCAAGTAGGTGGACTATAGGCACAAGACACTATGCCTGCCTCTTTCTCTTTCTGACTCAAGAGATTACAGATGACCACCTTGTATTCCCTCACTTTAAAAAACATCTGGAAGAGGAGCTATTTTTGTAGGAGGAGGTCTAATTCAGACACAGCCATCCTACATCCTGGATGTCTATACCTTCCTCCACTCCCGCACCCACTCCCACAAAGCACTTCAGCTTTTACCTGCTCCTCATCAAGTCAAGGGTGAATCTGGTGCAGAAGCCAAATAAAAAATCCAAGATTGGTGTTGGTAAGGCAAGGGGTGATAAACATCTTTTGTAATTCTAAAGATGAAGGGAAGAATAGCGCACATTTTCTATATATTCAGTATTCATCTTTTCATCTTTATGTTACAGCTCTATGATTAATTGCCCTGCTTTGCTTAGAAACGCCTCTGTCGGAATAAAACCTGGGTCTTTTGTAAATTATTCTTTTCTGAAATATTATCCCCTCTATTAGTATAAATGTTTCAATATTTTTATTAGGATATTGGGCAGGGTGTACAGCACTTGGGGAATTTATTGTTTGCTTTTTGACTGCCTTTGACTTAATGTAGTCTAAAATATAAAAATAAAAGGGAAAAGTGCATAGCTTGCAGATTTGCACTATCTCAACATGCACTTCTCTTAAAGTAGATGCAGAGATTTTCTAACAGAGTACATTGTTGATCAAATGGTTTACACACAACACAAAAACAGTTCTAGGTAAGAGGCAAGGGGGCTGGCTAGGAAAGAAATAGGAGGAGAGACAAACTAATTGTACATTCACAGAATTTAAAACATAGAAGGACGTCAGACACCAGATAGTCCAATATTTTGTGTTCAGAAAACACTGACCCTCAAGATGAACCCTCAAAATGAGTATCACTGTCAAATAGGTCTGGGAATCACTGAATATTATATATCACACCTTCTTTCAGATATATAGAGTGAACATTCAGTTACTAAATGTTCTAAAAGTCCTGCAACTCAAAAAACAAAAACATTTTTAATCCACTGTTTTTTTTTTCCTGTAATATCCCACAGAACCAGTGTTTTTCCTTACAGGTCCTCCTTTGGAAGTGCTGATCTTAAGCAATCATTTTGAGGAAACTGAAGTTCAAAGAAGTTACCTGGCTTGGCCTAAAACCTACCACTAATTGGTGGTTGATAATTCAGCAAACAGCATGATGAGAGTTTAGATGAAAGTGGGAAACAAGCAAAGATCTCAACATCTTTCCTTTCCACCCACATCTTACAAGGAAAAAGTTACCTCCTCTATTTCCCCATCTCAGTCCCCTTGCTTGGACTCATATTCCCCCAGCTTTCACTTGCCTACTGGAAGAGTATGTTACCCAGCTTAGATTCATTCATTAACGAGCATGATTTTCCCTTCAGGGAAGGCTTTTAACAGTGATCTTCTAAGGCTGAATCAATGACTTGCCAAAGGAGTGGCTTTGAAGCTGGGAGTGGCAGAAATTTGGAAGATAATTTAAGGCAGATGGATGTTTGTCATTCTCCTCAAATTTGTTCATTTTAGGGATTTCTCTGATAGGACAGGAATCAGATAGGATCGAAAAGTTTTTTTTTAATCTATTATAAAGTAGATGATACTTTCTTTATTAAAAGTTCTTTAGCTCCTTCTTCTCTGCCCACTCTTCCTTTCCATTTTCCATGTTCGATCTTATTCAGTACACTGCTTCTCCGGAAGAGATCTGAAACACACATGCAATGCCAGAACTGCCCAGAAGCTATAGGAAATGAGTCTGCTTGCTTCTCTACAAGACGTCTTGTAGACGCTATGGCACTGGACCTTTCTTGAATTTGCATGTCCTAGCTGAAAACTGTCTCCTCTAGCACAGATCTCTCCTAAATAGTTCCCAACTGAGAAGAAAGTACCATTATAGACAGTACATGTCTTTAAAATGCTATTCTATCTATGAAATGCAGTGCCCTTCATTGAGAAAGTTGAGCCTCCAAATAGCTTTGGTGAGAAAAATTTTTTTGTACCATGTTGATTTTTGCTTGCCTGGTTCACCTTACCAAAGAATAACAACATTGGCAACAGGAGGAGTTCAAACCTGAGTCATTTATCAGGACTGTGGGGAGCTGATGCTGATCTGGCCACCTCTCACCTGGTGCTCCTTAAAACAACATTTTAAGCCAGTTGGCTGTGATTCTAATCTATGGGAATGAACAGAAAGAACACTGGCCGTTAGAGATTAAACAGATCTGGCCTTGTCTATTTCTTTGTTTAAAAAATACCAGCCCTAACTATGCACATTATTCCCTCCCACAAATAGGAGGCCACATGGGAGACTACTGATGAAAGAGTTTTTCAGTAGCATAGAAGAACAGTGTACATCTTTATACATAGTAAATTTGCTATATTGGCCTCTGGTTTACTCTAGGAAGATAAGGATCAAATACATTCAACATATGCTGTATCCATAACTAGGTAGCCACCATGTGACACAGAGAAAAAGAATATCATTAAAATAATAAAGAAATTACACACGAATAATTAAATCTGTGTGATAAAATGGGGAATGATTATTTTCTTCCTTAAACTTTTGTATATTTTAAAAATAGAAATTACCCACTGATATGGTTTGGGTGTTGTATCCCATCCAAATCTCATGTTGAAATGTGATCCCAAGTGTTGAAGGTGGGGCCTAGCATTTGGGTCATGGGGGCATATCCTTCATTAATAGTTTTGTGCCTTCCCCAGGGTAAGGGTAAAAATATCATACCTAACTTTCCAAAGTCCTAGGTCATGGGCAACTCAGGGCTTAGAGTCTGTTTTGTGAATACCCTCAATACCTAAAAGGTATTCATTATAAGGACACAGCAGCAGAGTAGAGTCTCTAAGAAGAATGTGTATAGCTTGTGGTATTCATTTGTTCTTCCTGGACATCCAGGGACCAAAATTAGGTAACAGTTTGTCATATAATGCAAAACCTATCCCTTCCATCTAAACCAATCTGCTATGGTTTCCCTGTGATCCCTCCAAAATTCAGGTGTGGTCATGTGACAGTATTAAGAGATGGAACTTTCAAGAGGTGATTATGCATGAAGGCTCCTCCCTCGCAAATGGGATTAGGGCCTTATAGAAGAGACTTCTTCACATGGCCTTAACTCACTTGCTCTTCTGTCTTTCCCTGTGTGAGGACACAGCAACAAAGTGCCATCTTAGAAGCAGAGAGACTGTGCCCTCACCAGCTGGTGCCTTGATCTTGGACTTCTCAGCCTCAGATGTGTGAGAAATAAATTTTTGTTTGATATAAATTTCCCAGTCTCAGGTATTTTGTTATAGTAGCACAACGAGTCTAAGATGCAATCCTTTGTGATTCCCCCCAGATCTTTACAGCTTTTCTCTATGAAAGGCATTATTCTATTAAGCATATTGACTGAGGGCTTACTCTATGCAAAACATTATGTTCATGTTGGCATCCATGAGAAATAAGACTAAAAATACAGGTAACAAGAGAATGTAGAGAATGTAACAAAGAATATGTTACTACAAAATACAGGTATACGTAAAAGAGCAAAATTTACACTGATGAGGGAATCAGGAGAAAAGGCATCTTTGGGGAGGCTGCATTGAACTAGGCTTTGAAGGATGAGAAGCATTGTAAATTGTGGAATAATGGATGGAAGGACACCCCTGACCAAGGACACACCTGACTGAGAAAAAGGCACAACTGCTGCAAACTTTTTGTGAATTCACTCGGGTAGTTCTTTTAATTCAGATCGGGAATCTGAATTAAAAGAACTCAACAAAAGAAAATTCTCCTATGAAGTTATACATAAAAGAAAAACCATGTACTTCTAATACCATTCCTTTGATCTTCCATGAAAAGCCACTATATAAACGCAGGATATTACTTCTATTAAAGTCAGTATTTTTAAATGGCAATATTTTTAGAACACTTGAAAGTGAATTTTTTTCTCCAAGATTGAAAATTTTCTAAGAAATTAAATGTATTCCACATGGCGAGTCAAAGAACAGTGAAGATCTACATAGCAAGAAAATATATTCTGGGGGGATGTGCTACACCTTTTAAATTATTTATTAGAGGTCTCATGTTCTTAGAAGACAAGAATTCTTGAATGTTTATTTATTTTAGTCTATATACCAATATTATGCCACACTTTCAGTTAATCAAAGCAATTTTATTAGATCAGCATTAATGGGTAATTTTAAATGTCAAAAACTATATGTTGGTTCCTACACATCTGGGAATTTAGTAAAGCCTTTTGATTTGTACAGCTGAAGCAAATGATGCCCAGTGGGTGACCTACTGGCTAAAGGTCAGCCAGCTAGTTAATGGTGTAGCCGGTAAAATTGGAGGAAACTAAATAACTTGCCCAAGGTCACACAGGTAGCAACTGGTGGAGGCAGAATTACACTACAGGAGAGCCCAGACCTCCAACCTTCCCTCTACATTGCCTCTCTGCCAATGGAAAATTAACATAATCTCTCACAAGCAGGTAGAGTCCTGTGGATGAAAAACCATGTAAGTAAAAGTAGAGGGTAATAAATGCTGTTATTATAAGTGCAAGTAAATGATTATATTATCTAAAGTTCTGTAACAGCATAAAAGAACTAGTATTTCTAGATATCTTGATAGAAATTTAAGTAACATGTACATCTGGGCTAATATGTTATACTACAAGGCACTAAAAATTGTGCTTAAAATAACCTTTATCTCTCCTGCTTTTTTAGGTCATAAAAATATTAAATATTTTTTGAAAATGTTTACCCAAAATCCTACTACAAAAACACACTAACTGCATTGTTATTTAATCACCTGGAATGCTTAAATATACTTTTTTTGGTAGTTCAAGTAGCAATAATGATTTCCAAAAGAAAAGGCAGAAATAGTAGGACAATCCTGGGTTTACGAATTCCTTTATCTATGGCTGAGAACAAGTCATAACTGCTGCAAAAGTTGTTGTGAATTCATTCGGTTAGGTGATCAGGAATCTGAATTAAAAGAATTCAATAAAAATTCTAGCAAAAGATGAAGATTTTACACCCAATACTTTCGTTTTGCCTAACAATCCATTATGTGGTAATTACTCACGCATACACCTAAACACTTTTGAACCTATTTTTAATTTTACTTTGCATCCTCTTGTCCAGAGAATAAGGATGAGCAGGGGGGAATGCAGGACAGGAGGTAGGGGTATTACATAGTCTGACCTCATTGCTTTCTGTCTAAAATCCCTTGTTTTCAGATATCAACAGATGTATTCTAGTTCTAGTTTTTAATTTTTGTGAAAAATAATGCAAATTCACTCTACTTGTAACTGTGCATGAGAATTTGACTTTGGGTATCTGTCTAGCTGTTTTATTGTAGCAACCTGATAAGAGTAAAAACGTCATAGTAACAAGTTACAGCTATGACTGTAATTGGTAGGCTGGTTGAAAACTAAAATTACCTGATAGGACACCATGCTTGGGGCTTCCCTGAGGGCCATGATTCTGGAAACTGGGCACATCCCTATGAGACCTTGGAAGCTTTGTCTATGGAGTTACAAGAGATATCAACTCCTAGGGGAATGAGGCTTCTAAGCCACGATGGCTCCAGAACCTGTCCAATATAGATCTCATCTCTTCACACCTGAGCCGTGGACCATTTCAAGAACTCCCTCAAAGAGAAGCACCTGATGGCAAGCAGGAGTTCCTGCCCTATGGCCTTCTGGTTATACGTAGTCTTTGGGTTGGTCTGTGTTAGTCTTGGAGTCGGATTAGTTAAAGAAGACTCTCTAGCAGGCAGTGACCTTCATAATGTATACACTAGGCTCCTATCCCTTGAGTCTTTATCTTCCAAGCCAGAGTTCTATTTACATTCTGTCGTCAGAAAATAGCTACTTCCCCTAAGTCCTCACTCAAAGTCCTGGGCACTGGCTTGACCATGTTATTGCTCTTATCCAATTCCTCCCTATCTGTCTTTCTTGAAAATGACAATAAGGGTTGCATGTTGTAACATATATACCAGATTTTATGTAAAAACAACATAAAATTTTCTGTTCTTCTGCCAAGACTCCTGCTGACAATACCAGGGATATTACTGAATAATCTGACTACAGTGCCTTATTAAGCTAATATTGGAGAACAATCTACAATGACTCCTAGATCCCTTCTGGGGATCAGGTGTTAATATTTGTCTTAGTCCATCAGGCTGCTATAATAAAATGCCTTAGCCGGGGTAATTTATAAATAACAGAATTTTATTGCTCACAGTCCTGAAGGCTGAGAAGTCCAAGATGACAATACCAGCAGATCTGGTGTCTGGTGAGGGCTCATTCTCTGCCTCATGGATGGCACCTTGTTGCTGTGTCCTCACATGGCAGAAGAAACAAGGGAGCTCCTTTCAACCTCTTTTATAAAGGCACTAATCCCACTCATGAGGGCTCTGTCCAAAAGGCCCCACCTTTTGATACTATTACATTGGGGATTATGTTCCAACACATAATTTTGGAGGTATGCCACTATTCAGACCACAGTAATATTCAATTGTTAATATTTAATAGTTTGTGGTATAAACCACTCTTTAAAAGATTCTAGCTTATCAAGAAGGGTCAGCCAAAAAATAAAAGATGCTGACATGGTTGCAGAGAAAAGGGAACTCTTATACACTGCTGGTGGAATTGTAAATTAGATCAGCCACTGTGGAAAGCAGTTTGGCAATTTCTCAAAGAACTTAAAACAGAATTACCACTTGACCCAGCAATCCCATTATTGGGTATATACCCAAAGGAATACAAATTGTTCTACATAAAAACACATGAATGTGTATGTTCGTTGCAACACTATCCATAATAGCAAATACATGGAATCAACCTAAATGCAAATACATGGAATCAACCTAAATGCTCATCAACAGTAAACTGGATTAAAAAAAATGTGGTACATATACACCACGGAATACTATGCAGCCATAAAAATGAGATCACGTACTTTGCAGCAACATGGATGAAGCTGGAGGCCATTATCCTAAGTGAACTAATCCAAGAACAGAAAACCTAATACCACATGCTCTTATAAGTGAGAGCTAAACATTGAGAACACGTGGACACAAAGAAGAGAACAACAAACACTGGGGTCTACTTGAGGGTAAAGGGTGGGAAGAGAGTGAGGAATGAAAAATTACCTATTGAGAACTATGCTTATTTCCTGGGTGAGGAAATAATCTGTACACCAAATCCCTGTGACATGCAATTTACCTATCTAACAAACCTGTGTATGTACCCCTGAACCTAAAATATAAGTTTTTTTTTTAAAGGGGGCCAGAGCTAACTGGGATTATATACACTGGTGTCCACAGTGGGAGAAAAAGATGATGAACCCAAGCCAAAGGCTGAAAGAGAGACAAAATCCAGAGCCAAGGAAAGAAACAAAACACCAGCCCCAAAGCACAAAACCAACTGAAATGAGAGATGGATGCAAGTGGCAGGAGCTGGATCAAAACTTGAGAATAAGCCAGAGGATCCCAGATGACCAGCACAAACCACTTTTGTGGCCCAGGGGTCATATAATACAAAGACTGCCAGGATAACTTACAGAGAAACAAACTAAAACGTGAGTGAATCATATGACCTCAGAGGATACAATGGGCCCTAGAAACTCTTATTTCAAATTTCTACATGCTTATCAGAGTTTTTAATCCTATCATTCAATTCAAAACATTCCAACGTATTTACTGGGAGAGTCTTCTGTGCTAGACACCAAGGCAAGCACTACACAGTCAGAAAGGAAAGAAACAGATTCGGTGCCTGTCCTCATAGCGCTTACAGTCTAGAAAGAAATCAGCAATGCTTCTATAACTTTGTTCTTCAAATCCTGAGTTATGGATTTGAATGTAAAATCCATTGAATGTAAAAACGAAATCTTTTTACATTTCCTAGTTCTATTTTAAAAAGCACATCAACCACATTTTTTCCTAACACCAAACACACACACACACACACACACACACACACACGTTATTTCAACATGCTGCCCTTTTTACATGGGGAATTCAGAGGGGAGAAAAAGGCAAAAAAATTTTCAACTACAGATTTTCAGAAGACATAGAAATAATAATCAAATGAGCTTTCTTTCTATTAACACTACATGAAACCTGAGGTTATAATACTAAATCTTATTTTCATAATGTTTTGTCTTATAAGAATATGTGTTTAATCTAGAAAATTTGGAGAACACAGGTAAAAGAAGATAATAAAAATCACTTCCAATCCCATATTACTTAGAGAGAGTCACTGTTAATATTTTGATGTATTTCTTTCCACACAGATGAACAAATAGAGAGGGTTTATTTATATAAACTTATTCAGCCATATATATTTTTAAAATAGCATCACATTAATACAGAGTTTTATAACCTACACTTTTTCTAACACTGACTTTAACTTGGTGGACACATGTGTTTTAGAGAGCTGAGAGACTACTAGCCAGCTATGCTATCTGCTGATGGGAACAGAATTTAAAACTATCTCCTATAAATGTTCTTGGGATTGCTTTTTCCAAGTACACTTATCTTCAATCTTCCATTTTGACTTTAATCTTCTATTATTTTTCTTCCTATTTAGATGATCTTTTAAGTTATTTCTATAGTTCAACTTTAGCAGCTTGGTTTTTACTTACCGTAAGAACTGCATATCACCCATAAGCATTTACAAAAGTGTTAAATTAGACCATCCCCAAACTACTTCCTGGAAGAGGCTATTTGTCCACTCAGAGATATACCTATTGATCTCCATTTTTTGTTTTTTGTTTCCTTAGCCAATTTCCCATTCATAAGAAAAGGTCATGAATGAGGAGGGAACTGGAATCGGAAACCTGGTTAGGCTTTCTGAAACATTAAAATATATTTCCTGCAACACTTGGCAACAAACATATAGTCATGTATCACTGAACAATGGAGATATGTTCTGAGAGAGCCATCTTAGGTGATTTTGTCACTGTGTGAACATCACAGAGTATATTTACACAAGCCTAGATGTATAGCCTACTACACACCTAAGTTATATGGTATAGCCTTTTGTTCCTAGGCTACAAACCTCTGCAGTATGTTACTGCACTAAATACTACAGGCAACTGTAACACAATAGTAAGTATGTGTGTATCTAAACATAGAAAAGGTACCATAAAAATACGGTATAAAAGAAAAAAGATACACCTATATAGGGCACGTACCATGAATGGAGCTTGCAGGACTGTAAGTTGCTCTGGGTGAGTGAGTGAGTGGCAAGTGAGTGAGTGGGAAGTAGAAGTGAAGGCTGAGGACGTTACTGTAGACTACTGTAGGTTTTATAAATACTACATTTAGGCTACCCTAAATTTACTTTAACATTTTTTCTTTCTTCAATGATAAATTAACCTTAGTTTACTGTAATTTTTTTATTTTACAAACTTTTATATGTTTTAACTTTTTGATTCCTTTGTAATAACACTTAGCTTAAAACACAAACACATGGTACAAACTTATTTTCTTCAAATCCTTATTCTGTAAGCTTTTTTTCTATTAAATGAAAACATGTTTTAAAATTTTTTGTTAAAAACTAAGACATAAGCACACACATTAGGCTGGGCCTATACGGGATTACGATCATCAATATCACTGTCTTCCACCACCACATCTTGTCCCACTGGAAGGTCTTCAGGGGCAATAACACGCATGGAGCTGACATCTCCTATGATAACAATGCTTTCTTCTGGAATACCTCCTGAAGGACCTGCCTGAGGCTGTTTACAGTTCACTTTAAAAAAAAAAATAAGTAGGAGTTCTCTCTAAGATAATGATAAATTGCATTAACAGTAAATACATAAATCAGTAACATAGGTGTTTAATATCATTCTCAAGTAGTATGTACTGTACATAATTGTACGTGCTATACTCTTCTAAGACTGGTAACACAGTAAGTGTGTTTACACAAGCATTACCACAGGTAAGTAATGTGTTGTGCCACGACATCACCACAGCTAAGATGTCACTAGGTGATAGGAATTTTTCAGCTCCACTATACTCGTATGGGACCACCATCATATAAGCAGTGCATTCTTGACCCAAACATTGTTATGAGGTGCATGACTGTATTTTCCTTTTTTAACTCTAATACGTCAATCCCCCTTCTTCAGAAAAAAAAAAAAAAAATCGTTACTTGCTGTAATCTGTGTTTACTTTGAATATCCATCTCCCAATCATCCACAGGGACACGGGTCTGGTTTCTTGGCCCCCAGTCCTTCTGGAAACCCCTCCCCTGACTGGAGCCCCCAAGGACACCAGTCAATCCCCCAGCAATACCCCAGATTGCTGTCACGTACACACCAGGCTTCTTCAATATACTTAGGTGAAGGCCATCTAGTCTTGGTGATTTATCTGTAATTAGTCTGCTGATTAGGTCTGGAATATCCTCAGCACTTGCCACTTCTTGATCTATTACCTCCAATGTGTGTATTGCTTGAGAAAGCCTGGGTGTAGGAATATTACTCAGCAAAAACAGAAGCAAAGAATTCATTTACACGCTGTTTTATCTCTTTTTATCTCCCAGTACATGTTTGGTATGATGAAAGATGAGTAGTTCCACAATCCTTATTTCACAGTATTTAAGGGACTTTCATTATCGTTTTGGAAATCCATTGCAAGGATTTTTTTTTAACAAATTCACTTTTGGTTATCCCATTTCTAGTATGCCTGGGATCTGTTGCCCTTCATAAGGTCAATTTAATAAACTGACCCTTCAAATTTTCCTTTTTCATTACATGTATCCAGGTAAGCTTTCTTTTTCTTTTCTTTACTTTCCCTATGTGTTTTCACTATGAGTTTAGTGTTTTACAGAGCTTGGGTACAAGACTTGTTTTTCTTATCACTTTTGGGTTTCTATAAGGTAATTCGTATGCTTCCCACTTTCTTATGGGTAAATTAAGTATTTCTTTTCATTTCTTCCCTAACATATCAGCATTGAATTCCCTTTTAGAGACTGATTATACTCTTGATGTCCTTCTTTGGAGTCCCCTCTTCCATTAGAAGACTTAATTGAATTGAAACACATATCATTCATCATTACATGCTGCAATCTGTGTTACATCTGGTAGGCACTCTGAACAGTTCCTGAAAGAATGTATGATACCAACAGCTAACAATAACGGGGCATTTGGTAGGTGTAAGGTCCCATCCCAAGCATTTTAAATGCATTGTGTCATTAGATTTCAGGCACCAGACGGTAAACTTCATTAGCAAGGAGTTTGCACATGTATCCCTAGCATCTAGAGCAGAGCTGGTACCTAATAGGCAATTGCTGAATATTTGCTGCATGAATAAATTTTAAAAACTGCATGAGGTAGGTGCATTATTCATGCTTTACACATAAGAAAACTAAAGCACAGAGAAGTTCTATCATTTTTTGAAGTCCCACAGTTAGTGTATGTGAAGACAAGACTTGAATCCAAAGCCCACATACTTAACCAAGACTTACTAGTAGTAAGCTCAACACTTAACCACGTTATTGCAAATGAGATTAATCTCATTAATAAATAGTATGCAATGACACAAGTAAATATTGTAAGCAATCATTTTCCAAGAAAAGATTTGCAGATGATGAGCCCTTAAAAAATAATCAGATAGGCAGATATCTGTACGCTTCTTATTGCTAGCTTTGCAAGTAAAAATATGATTTCTCTCTAACCAATGTCTTCTGCTACATTTGTACACTAGTCAATGAGGATTTCAGGACTTTTGATAAGTGGGTGCTTTTTGTGTTTCCAGAGTAGTTCTGATTTTATTTAAGTCATCTATTTTGTCAATTCTTTTTAAAATAAGAATAGCACTAATGAGATATTCATTTATTATTTCTATTGTTAATCGTCTACAGAGCTTATAAGGAGTGTGTTTATAAAATAGGAGACTTACATATTTCTCACACATCTCTCCTACTGTTACTTGTCTTTCTGAAACATTACAATTAGGACATCATCCTTTAGGGGTTTGATTATATGTACCTTTAACAACTCATTAGCAAAAATAACGTATCTCTTTGAAAAGGGTAGCTCTTTAAAACTATTCCTAGTTTTCACCTTAATTCTTTATCAGCCCTCACCTTAGTGGGAGCTAAATGATATTGAGCAGACAGCAAAGCCTTTTGGGGATGATTCACAATGGTCCCTCAAGCTATGGGTTAAACAGTAAAAAGAGGTGCAGAAATCAGAAGTAGGTAAACAACAAAGAAGTAGGTAAACACCAAAAAGGAAGGAAGGAAGGGAACGGGTGAGGTAGGAAAGAATTTGAAAAACACTTGACTGAACTCTGCTATTGATCTTGGAAAAGTCAATCTTTGAAAGCCTCAGTTGTTTCATCTGTGAAATGGGGATGATAAAGATATGATTTCCTCAGACACTTTAATAGTAGATTTCAATATGCCATATAAACTATCCAGTATGATACAACACATGGTATGGTTTTTTACTTGATATTATTTGCCTAGAATCAGCCCGATTTATGCATTATGTACTATAAACATTCACCTTACAAAGACTGTCAACAGCTTGAGAGTGTAGCTTCATCAATTGTCTGTCTTAATTGGTCTGGAAGCATTTCCATTATTTCTAACTCAAGGAACCATTTCACAATTTTTAACAAGCTTTGTGTGCCTACAAGCTCAGAAAGCTTACTGTGTGCTCTCAGGACTAGAGTTCTATAAACCTCTATTTAAACAAGGAAGCCTCTTTTAAGTCTTATTTCAGTCTGGTGCCTTTGGTCGAGGTGGAAACTAAAATTGAAAACAGATAGATGTTTTACATTTAAATGGGTTTAACATAAATGTGCATTAACCCATTTCATGGGCGATTGCACAAATACCTTTTGCAAACTTGGTACACGTGAGCGCATATACAGTAACCATTAATGTCTTCTAGAGAAATAAGGTGCAGATCCAAAATTTTAAACAGCTAGCTCGAGTTCCTCTCACTCGAAAGAAAATGTAATGGCTTTAAGGGAATTGCTCTAATAATATCATGGCATCTGCAATGGCTGGCCAGAGCAGAGCAGAACAGTGTGTATGTCACCGCAAGTCAATTTAACAAGAAATAAGCTTCCCCCTGGAGAATCTAAACTCCCTTGCCTCCCACAAAGAAAATTGAATTTTGGAGGTCACACCTTGGGTAGGTTACCATAGAAAGAAGCTTAACATTCTTTTTGTCATATGCTCTGGGAGGTCAATGCTGTTCTTCCAACAAGTGACTACCAAAGACCCTCTTCCATTCCCCCCCACCCAATTCTCTCCCCCGATCCCATTATAACAAGTCTTTGGAGTCCTCTAGGAAACGGGATGTGATTGTGACACTTGAAAATGCCAAGGACCACACCGAAGGCAATCATGCTCAAACACCAAGTTTTGAGCCCCGCAGTGAGGAGCAGGGCAGATACTGGGGCGGGAGAGGGGACTGGAGGAGGGCAGCGGTAGAGATAGTGAGGATATGGTGGGGGTCAGAGCGAGTCAGACCGTCAGATAGTGAGCTTTAGGTTGTAACTGAACGCTTAGCCAAATGTGAATCAACGGAACTGCTGTTACCGGAGAGAAAAACAGGTCGCCAAGTCAAGCCCAGGCCAAATCCCAACTCTGTGGGTGGATGGTCCCTTCCCTGGGTTGTCGGGGTGGATGGCTGAAAGGCCTAGCGTGGTCTTGCAGCGGCGGGGAGGTACCTCCAGCACACTGCACCTCCCTTAGAGGCTCCGGGTGGCCGCAGCCGGGCTACCGCCACTGCCCCCCGCCCCGCAGCAACATGTGGGGTGCTGCCAGTCCGCCGCCCAGGAACTCCCTCCGGCTGGAGTTCCTGGTGGACGCATGTTGGGCCGTGAGAAGATGCTGAATTACTCCTGGGAAAGGTTCCTCCAGCCTTGAACTTGGCAGCTCCTGACCTTTCCATCCCACCCTCCACGCGCCAGCCCAACACACACGAGTACACACGCCCCTCTGGACCCGTCCAGGCTACTCGCGGGGCTCTCTGCCCACTAGGGGCAAAACGCCGGAGGCCGGGACCCCAGTTCCTCTGGCCCCAGGGGACTGCCCTAGCATCGGGTAGTTCCAGGGACTCAGCGCACTCCCTGCCTTGGCCAGGCCCCGCCTAAGCCGGGGCCGCTGGCACCAATCCCCTGTTCTTTTGTGCTCTCCCGGGAAGCCCGCCTCTACTCACCCGGGCTGCGCGCGGATTCCGGCCGCCAGCTGCAGCCCGCTGCCCCATCCCACGAACACTGCGGCGCCCCCAGAGTGTGCAATGCGGCGCCCCGCCAGCCCGCTGCCGGAGCCCGGGAGCTCAGGGAAGGAGCGAGGGAGCGCAGCGGGGAGAGGCGGGGGGCGGCTAGGGGCGCGCGCGCCACTCCCACTCGCGCCGGGCACTGGCCGCCGCCCGCAGCCGCGGCCGGCCCGGCCTCGAGGGCCGCGGGACCAATCAGCGCGCGCGGGGGGAGCGGAGCCCTCCGCGGGGCGCGCTCATTGGCCCGGCGCGCGCGGCCCAACTCCGGGAGAATCGGCCTGAGCGCCAAGTCTGCAAACTCCGGCCAGCGGGAGCCGACCGCCCGGCGCAGGTGGGGCACCCGGGCGCCGCGCTCCCGCCCGCAGGGTGAGCGGAACTGGAGAGATTTGGGACCTTCCCGGGAAGCCTGTTCCCAGTGAGCGTTGGAAGCGAGCAGTGTTTGCTCAGGGTGCACCGATACCTTCCTGTGCGCGACCCCCTGGCGCCTCTCCCTAGCCGCCAGCCTCAGCCGGGCCAGCAGCTGCGTGCGTGGCTGCAGGCCCGGCAGTGTGAAATGACCCTGGCCAAATCTCACTCCCCGCCATCCCCTGGGCCCCGCGAAATCCGCCGGACCGCAGAGCTCAAGAGCAAGTGAAGCTCCGAACCCAGGGAAGGCGGAGACCACTTGACGTTTGCAGTAAAAGACCTAAGCTGCGGGGCGGAGCATGGAGGCGGTGGGAAGAGCCAGGAAGGCAGGTCTTAGGAAGTGGGAATCCGGTTATGGGTTTGGTGCAAAAAAGTCCAGGGCATAATACTGCCACCCTCTGCCCAACCCTTCCTCCAGTTAAAGCCCCTGCAGCCCTCTTGGGACGTATTGGTTTTTCTCTTCCTTGTTGTAAATCGTGTTTGACCCCCCTGGACGGTTCGATCTAGAGCCTTAGAGTGGAAGTGGGTCATAGTCCTACTCTCCCCTGAGCAGCGCGGGGGGCCGGCGGGGAGCCGGGGTGACCGGGGAAGGTCCCCAGGAAGGTCTGGAAGGACTCCACGGATATGCCCGGAAACTCGGAACCAGCCTCCCCACCTCCCCCCGAACTTGGCCTGCAAGGCTACCTTCGTAAGGGCGGCCCGCCATGTGGCTATTTGTCGATCTTTGAGACCCCTCCACCTTCTCCTTGGATTTTCTACCCCTGGAGCATTTTTTCAGGCCTCTCCTGAATCACCCTGCCTTCCCAATAATCTATCCATCCCAACATAAAAACATTCTTACTCTTTTTTAAATTAAACTTCCTTCCCCAGTCCCTCTATTTGGAAGGGCCTAGGATAACCTATTTTTGATCGACAGCTGCTAGACCTCAGAAAGTTTTTCTCTTAGTGTATGTGCACAGGCTTGCCCAAGCTCAGGGTTCAAGTAGGCAAAAAATAATTAGCGCCCCCTCAAGGTGGAGATCGCTGCCGCGCTGTCTTCCTGCAGGGCTCAGCAGGGTGAATGAATTGAATATGAATTAATCAACCTGAACTTGGAAATGTCTCTCCGTGTCTAGGCAGGTTACCTCTGCGGGTTAGCATCTACTAATGAGGGCATGTCCCGGGTGTCACTGCTGACACTCATTTAGTTTCCAGTTGGCAGTTCCGGTCCATGTACTTATTCACTTTATTTAAAAAAAATCGGTGCATAGTTTAGTGAAAATATTCATATTTGGGTTCAAAGTGAAGTTCAACGTATTAATGCAGTTTATGAGAGCCGAGTTCCTGGTAGAGATGGAACCCTTAGGATCTCTTTTCAGAAATATATTTTCAAAGAAGGCTGGAAAGATATGCATATGAAATGTCTGCAGTGGTTATCTCTGCGTGTTGGGATAATGGATGGTTTTCTTGTTCTTTATACTTTACGGTATTTTCTAAAGAACATTAATATTAATTTAAAAATTTTTTTAAAATGTTGACTACCAACATACAACACTCCTCAGGCATCAGAAGAGCGAAAATGTTAAATCTTCCTTCTGCTTTTCCCTTCACATCTTGTCAATCGCCCAGTCCTGTGTTTCTGTCTCCTAGGATGACTTCTAGATCCATCCCTCCCAGCATCTCTATTTCACTGCCAGACCTCATCATGCCTTACCAGCGCTTCAGCAACAGGCTTTCACTGCTCTGCTCTCCAGTCGACCACACGCTGCCCTCTCTATTTCAGAATCACTAATGTAATCATGTCACTTTCAAGCTTAAAATTCTTCAGTTCCAACCCCACTGTGAGGAAGTTCAAATGGAGCCTGGTTGGCAAGGCGTTTCCTTCCCAGTCCGTTCCCAGCTTTCCACGTTGGTCTCATCTTCTGTCCTCACAGTTCCGCAGGCAGGATGGTTCTGCTCCACCTACAACTGCCTGTCCGTGGACCTTCACACACCCATGTCTAAGATTTCATAGTGCTAGAATGCTGTGCTTCTCTTCCTTCTCAACTCTCTCCTGCCCCAACAGCAAGTTCCTATCTTTGCTTCAAGATTCACTTCGAATACCACCTTTTTAAAAATCAAGTCTTCGAAACTGCCCGGGGCAGAATTAAGCAACGCCTTCTTTCTGTACATCAGAAGCAAGCTTTTTTTTTTTTTTTTTTTTTTTTTTTTGACGGAGTCTCACTCTGCTGCCCAGGCTGGAGCAAAGTGACGCGATGAAGAAAACATACATTGTATTTACACTCCTGGAGTGCACGAAGAGAGAGACGCACTTTATTTATTTATTTATTTTAAGCCCTCTCCTTCTCACCCCTGCCCAACATGGCTGAGTGCCATCCTCTGTTTCACCCCTGCTGAGTCTGCCAGCTCACATTTACCATAGGTGGTCTCACCCTGCACCTTCCCAACCTGCCCAGCTCTCACTACAGATCTGTTTATTGATTATTTTTTGTTGTTATTGTTTCATGTTTTTGTTTTTGAGACAGTCTCACTCTGTCACCCAGGCTGGAGTGCAGTGGCACAATCTTGGCTCACTGCAACCTCTGCCTTCCAGGTTCCAGTGATTCTCATGTCTCAGCCTCCTGAGTTGTTGATGCCCAGCTAATTTTTTTATTTTTAGTAGAGATGGGGTTTCACCATTTTGGCCAGGCTGGTCTTGAACTCCTGACCTCAGGTAATCTGCCCATCCTGGCCTCCCAAAGTGCTAGGATTACAGGCATGAGCCACCATGCCCAGCCTTGTTTATTGATTATTTTAAAAGCAGCCCTTTCTGATTTTTTAAATTAATGTATATTTTTATTTCAATAGCTCTGGAAGTACGAGTGGTTTTTGGCATGGGTGAATTGTATAGTGGTGAAGTCAGATTGTAGTGCACCCATCACCTGAGTAGGAGAGAAAGACTTTAGATCAAATAGTCACATGAACAATTTCATACTGAGATAGGCATGATGACACTACCACATGTAAAAAAAAGAAACCTGGTTCATTTTGAATATATGTCAATCACAGTTCTTACCACATTGTGTTATCCATTGATCTATTTATTGCAAGTTCTTTGTCCCATCATATGAATCCATATGCCCCCACGTAGAACACAGTGCCTGGTTTATAGTGGGTGCTCAGTAAATATTCTAAAATGAATGGGTAAATAAATGAATGGGTATTTGAAACCCCATGAGGCATTTTATTTCATGTGTCTACATGCAACTATTATCCAAAATCGAAAAGACATTAGTTCCGTGTTTTAAAAATTATTAGATCCTTGTCTCATCTTTCTTAACTTTAATTTGTTTTTTCTGCACAAATTGTCTAATGTCTTATTTAATTTCACATTTAGGAGATATAGGTAATTATTATTTACATACATGTAGATAATCTGCTATTGCTAGGAGGAAATCTTTTTTTAGAAATTTTACTTTTAATATATAAAAATTGAAGGTTGAAAATGCAAAGCCAAAAAGCACAATACATAACAAAAAGTAAATCAATTGGGCTTTCTAAAAGTTAAAACATTTTCTCTGCAAACAACACGGTTACGAGAATGAAAAGACAAGAATAGACAGGGAGACAATAGTTGCAAATCATACACCTGACACAGGAATTGTAGTTAATACATACAAAGAACTCTCAAAACTCAGCAATAAGAAAACAACCAAATTTTTTTCAATGGCCAAAAGATTTGAACAAACACTTTACCAAAGAAGATATATGGGTGACAAATAGCACATGAAATGATACTCATATCATTAGTCTTTAGTGAAATGCTAATTAAAACTGCAATGATAACTTCTAGACACTTATTAGAATGGCAAAAAAAAAAAACCTGACAATACCAAGTGTTGATGAGGCTGCAGAGCAACTGAAACTCTCATACCACACTGGTGAGGGTGCAAAATGGTATGTCCGCACTAAAAATAGTTTGGCCACTTTTATAAAGTTCAATATACACCTAACCATATAGCCCAATAATCCTACTCCTACATACAGACATACATTGTTTTATTTCACTTCACTTCATTGCATTTCAAAGATACTGCATTTTTTTTTTTTACAAATTGAAGGTTTGAAGTAACTCTGCATTGAACAAATCTATCAGTGCCATTTTCCCAAAAACATGTGCTCACTTTGTGTCTCTGTGTCACATTTTAGTAATTCTCACAATATTTCAAGCTTTTTCATTATTATTATATTCATTATGGTGACCTGTGATCAGTGATCTTTGTTGTTACTATTGTAATTGTTTTGGGGGGCCATGGACCGTGTCCAGATAAGACAGCAAACTTAATTGATAAATGTGTGTGTTCTGACTGTTACACCAACAAGCCATTCTCCATCTCTCTTTCCTCCAGCCTCCCCATTCCCTGAGGTGCAACAGTATTGAAAATAGACCATTAATAACCCTACAAGTCCCTCTAAGTGAAAGTTGTATGTTTCCCACTTTAAATCAAAAGCTAAAAATGATTAAGCTTAGTGAAGAAGGTGAAGGTGTCAAAAGCTGAAATAGGCCAAAGCTAGGCCTCTTGTACCAGTTAGCCAGAGTGTAAATGTAAAGGAAAAGTCCTTGAAGGAAATTAAAAATGCTACTCCAGTGAATATAAGAATAAGAAAGCAAAACAGTCTTGTTGCTGATATGGAGAAAGTTTCAGTGGTTCAGATTAAAGATAGCTAAAACATTCCCCCGAGCAGAAGCCTAATCCAGAGCAAGACCCTAACTCTCTTCACTTCTATGAAGGCCGAGAGAGGTGAAGAAGCTGCAGGAGAAAAAAAAATTGGAAGCTAATAGAGGTTGGTTTATGAAGTTGAAGGAAAGAAGCCATGCCCCTAACATGAAAGCATAAGGTGAAACAGCAAGTGCTGATGGAGAAGCTGCGGCAAGTTATCCAGAATATCTAGCTAAGATCATTGATGAAAGTGGCTACACTAAACAATGGATTTTCAATATAGACAAAGCAGCCTTCCATGGGAAGAAGATGCCATCTAGTAATTTCATAGCTAGAGAGAAGTCAATGCCTGACTTTAAAGCTTCACAAAACAGGCCGACTCTCTTGTTAGGGGCTGACGCAGCTAGTGAAGCTACCCCACTTACCATTCCAAAAATCCTAGGGCCCTTCAGAATTATACTAAATCTACTCTGTATATGCTGTTTAAATAGAACAACAAAGTCTATATGACAGCACATCTGTTTACAGAATAGTTTGCTGAATATTGTAAGCCCACTGTTGAGACCTACTGCTTAGAAAAAAAAAAGATTTATTTCAAAAATACTACTACTTATTGACAATTCATCTAGTCATCTCAGAGCTCTGATGAAAATGTACAAGGAGATTCATGTGTTTCCTTGCCTGATAACACAACATCAATTCTGCAGCTCATAGAGCAGGGAGTCATTGTTGGGGTGATAAGACCTAACACCAGGTCTTGAGGGCAATGAAGTCCAGCAGAGTCAAAGGAATGAGAAAAAGTATGAGAGAGAAAGTAAGACCAGGGGGCCATCGCAAGTGTGGAGGCTGCAAAGGCCCTCGAGCTCTGGGAGCCCACGCTATTTATTGATGCTCAAACAGGTGGTGAGGATGTGGGGGTTGAAAGGAAACAGTGTATCAAGTGAATGAAAAACATGGCTGCTTGAGATAATGGGAGTGCTAGAAGCAAGGAGCCAACACGTCTAGCAGACATGCAAGCCCTGCCTCAGCTTCTCTCCCAACACTCAGCTTTTCTCCCAACATGGCCCCCATCTCTTTTTTGTAAAAACCACCACAGCTATCATTATTATTAGCATAAGGTGGCCTCTTTTTTAAATTAATTGAGCAACGCAATTGCAGGCTGTACAGCCCTTATTTGCCGGTTGGTGATCCAGCTTTATTTTTCTTAGCCCTTATTCAAAATGGAGTTGCTCTGGTTTGAATGCTTCCCACGTATCTCCCCTTTCCCTTTTACAAGAGGACCCTTAATCCTAGGGGTTGCAGAAGGATGAAGGTCCATCTTCTGTAACTTCTTCATGCTGAATAGGGGCGATCCTACCTATTAGGGTCTCTTGTATTCAGGGTAGAGAGGAGTTCAGTCAGAAAGCACTGGTCCGTTAAGCAACTATAGGTAAAACCTTGGCACTCCAGCAGTTTCTCAGCATGGCTCATACTGGGGGAACCCAGTCCATGGTTGGGATCCATGGGTCCTTCCAGTCTCCTGTTCCATGGTCGTACACATCTTGAGGGCACCTACATGTTTTGCTTATCTCCTGCAAAACCACAAGCCTACCCTCACTGCCACGTTAGTAAATCTACTGAAACAGAAGCAAAAACTTTTGTGGCTGCAGCCAGGAGGCATGCCATTGCTGAAGCATTTGTAACTCAGCTTCTGCCTCTTTGGTTAATTAGCATGGGGTAAAACTTACCATTGATAACAAGAAGCAGGCCCCTTCTAACAGAAGGCACAGAGAAAGCAAATCGAGGCTTAAAAGCAATCCTTCAGCCTTCAATTTGCACTGTACAGGTGGGTCCACTAGATGCTGTGGCTCATGATAGATCTTTAGATGTTTGGTGGGCACCCACACAGGTACCTGATTGTCACCTGGAGAGACACAAGCAAATCCTCTTCCCCATAAGATTATTTTCCTTTTTCCTAGCTCTTTGTATGTGCATCCCTCCACCATATATCTTGTCCAGCCTTTTTATTTTCCTTTTGCCCTGTCAAATGTTGTTCAGCTGCAGTCATGGGTTGATCTTTTTGTAAGTTAAAAAAATTTAATGTTAATAAAGTTAAATGCAATTGTATATGTGGTGTCTTATATTCCTGGTCCCCTCCCTTTTGCTTTTTGTATTTGAGTTTTTAAAGTACAATTAGCTCTTTCCACTATTGCTTGTCCTTGTGAGTTATGTGGAATACCCGTAGTATGGGCAATATTCCATTGTTGAAAAAATGTAGCCATGGCTTTATTGAAAGGGAGTAGAAGTTTGGATTTTATCGAGGGCTATAATTAACCCTGCTGCATTTACAGCCTTTTCTAACAGTTTGTAGCACAACATCAGTTCTTCCCTAGTTTCAGCTGCACACAGAATATCATCCATGGAATGGATGATACAACATTTTTTAAACTGTTCTCTAACTGGCTTAATAGCTTTCCCGACATAAGTTTGACAAATAGTCTGACTATTTAGCATGCCTTGTGGTAGTACTTTCCAATGGTATCTGTCTGCTGGTTCTTTATTATTTATGGCGGGAACAGTAAAAACAAATTTCTCATAATCTTGGGCAGCTAAAGGAATGGTAAAAAAGCAATCCTTTAGATCTATCACTATGAGAGGCCAGTATTTGGGGATCATTGTTGGGGAGGGCAGCCCTGGTTGCAGTGCGCCCATGGGTTGAATCACAGCATTAACAGCCCTTAAATCTGTTAACGTTTTCCATTTCCCTGATTTTTTCTTAATGACAAATACAGGAGAATTCCAAGGGGAGAAAGTAGGCTCTATATGTCCCTTTTGCAATTGTTCCTGTACCAGTTCTTTTAAAGCCTCCAGTTTTTCCTGTTTCAGCAGCCATTGCTCCACCCAAACTGGTTTGGCAGTTAGCCAGACAAGAGAAATGGGAGCCAGAGGCTCAACGATGGCCGCTTCTAAAAATGACACCCCAATCTGGTCCGATCTATTTGCCCTTTTAATTCTAAAGGTTCTGATTGGCCATTTTTATCTTTTCCTAGTCCTATTCCCAGGTGATATCCCATATTTTTCATCATTTGTCTACTACGATTACTATATTGATCCGTAGGAATAGGTATTTCAGCATCCCATTGTTACAATGAGTCTCTACCCCATAAATGGACAGGAATAGGTGTAATGATAGGCTGAATTGTCCCTTCCTGACCATCCAGCCCTTGACATGGTAAAATCAAAGAACTCTGAAGGCAGCTCCTACTCCAACAATACCAATGGATGCCTTTTGCTTAGGCCAGTGCCAGGGCCATTGATTTACAGCAATAATAGAGACATCAGCTCCAGTATCTTCTACTCCTTCAAAATCTTTTCCCTGAATAGTTACTGTGCAAATAGGTCTTTTGTCAGATACTTGATTAACCCAGTGCACGGCCCTTCATGCTGGATTAGTATTACCAAAGCCTCCTGTTCTTTTCACTGTGCTGCTTCCTAGTTTTATGTAAGGTAACAGCAACAACTGAGCAATTCTTTTTCTTGGGGAGGCAGATCAAGGAGTCGAGGAACTAATAACTAATTGAATCTCTCCAGTATAATCAGAGTCAATTATTCCTGTATGTACAGTAACATCTTTTAAATTTAGACCTTCCAAGTAATAGACTGACTGTTCCTGAGGGTAAGGGTCCCCTAGCTCCCATGGGGACCTTCTTTGGTGGCTCCCCAGGAAGTGTGAACTAAAAGATGAGTTACATACATGTTTACAAAACACAACTGGACATTTTCCATTGTTTTGGGATAAACCAAAATCAATTTTAAAGTTTCATTTGGAGATTTCAAAGCTGAAAATGCTTTCAGCAAATTCTTAGATCTTATGAAAGTACCTTAGATCTTAAGAAAGTATATATTGTTCATTGTTTATAAAATCATTTGCCTTTTTGATCTAAAAATTTTAATACTTGAATTTAATAGGTTTTTCTTCTGGAAAAGTTTTTGGCATTCAAGTACAATCAAAACTTTCAGAGTAGTCAGCTGCATCACACTGGAGTGATTGCTTTAATTTCTAAATCATCAGTTAGTGGAACCCAGGGATACTGATGGCCTTGATACATAATTTAGTCTTGTCATTATAGCGTGTGGAAATCAGGTCTTTGGGGGGGCATCTCTGACCCCATTTCTTTTTACCACAATGGTTCCTGCTACAATGTCATAGGCTGTTCGATTATGTTGAAGAAACAACAGTGTGATAAAAGCAGGGAAAAAAGAAGCAATCAAAAAATTCTTGATCAAAGCTCGTATAGTGGACGTTGTAATGCTAACATTTGAAAAAGGAATCACTAAAACACGACTTAGTGCAATAAGCACTAATGTATCACATGTCACAACTCGAAGCCCCACCAGGAGCTTCCCTGGGGTAGCTCCACCTGCTCCCCAAATGAAAATTATCTCATAAAAACAAACTAATAATCTGTATATAAGAGCCATAACCATCATTTTCAGCAAGTCTTCCGTTGATGTGTCCTCATCTATTTCTTCCATTATATAATGCATAGCAAACTTAGAGATATCCTTTATCCCACTGAGGTGCATAATGCTTAAGACAATGGTTGCTTTTACAAAGAAGATAATAAAGAAATCCACCATCCTTGCCACCCGTGGCCCAAGGATGGAATAACTTATTCTTTGCCTGCCGGTTGCCCGGTCTCACTCTGGCTTCGGGAAGGGGCTGCAGATCCTACCTTTGTCACTGGAGTGGCCCGGATTGACGCCTGCACATGAGGAACCCAGGGTCCCAGGCCCGTGACTGTAGCAGGGGTGCTGATGCCAGCAGCTGCCCCCGGGTCAAGCCCCCGCGGCCCTGGGGCTCAGGAAGTAGAAGGGGTTGTAATAGCCCAGCCGTGGGGATGGCGGCGCCGCGGCCTGGGGGACGGCAGTGCCTCCAAAGAGAAGCTCTGCCGGGACGGTTGGGGGCTACAGCAGTCGGGGAGTGTAGCCGGGCCACTGCGCCAGGTGAGGTAGCCGCAGCAGGACTGCCACAGTCACTCGTGCACTCGCCAGGAGCACCCAAGGGCGCTCAGCCGCGCCGGCCTCTCCCACGGCGCCGCAGCTTCCGACACTTCAAGCAGCCTACCTGCTCCTGCAGCCCCGCAAGGGAGCCCGAGGTCGCCTCCCGGCTCCTCCTGAGCCCGCGGGGTGGCTCCGACCCATCAGCGGCGGTGGCCTGGGGGCCGGCGCGGGGGCATGGGATGGCGGCAGGAGGGCCCCTCAGGGAAGGGACGGGCTCCTGGTCCCCTCCGCCCTCGTCATGCCCCAGAGGACAGCCTCGGACTTCCTTGGGCCCCTCTGCTATCATCGCCTCAGCAGCACCCTCCGTGGTACCCGTCACTGCTCTGTCTTTATACACCTTTTTAAAAAAAAATCTCTTCCAATTCACAATTGCTTCAAAGAGAATAAAATACTTAGGAATCCAACTTACAAGGGACGTGAAGGACCTCTTCAAGGAGAACTACAAACCACTGCTCAATGAAATAAAAGAGGATACAAACAAATGGAAGAACATTCCATGCTCATGAGTAGGAAGAATCGATATCATGAAAATGGCCATACTGCCCAAGGTAATTTATAGATTCAATGCCGTCCCCATCAAGCTACCAATGACTTTCTTCACAGAATTGGAAAAAACTACTTTAAAGTTCATATGGAACCAAAAAAGAGCCCGCATTGCCAAATCAATCCTAAGCCAAAAGAACAAAGCTGGAGGCATCACACTACCTGACTTCAAACTATACTACAAGGCTACAGTAACCAAAACAGCATGGTACTGGTACCAAAACAGAGATATAGACCAAGGGAACAGAACAGAGCCCTCAGAAATAATGCCGCATATCTACAACCATCTGATCTTTGACGAACCTGACAAAAACAAGAAATGGGGAAAGGATTCCCTATTTAATAAATGGTGCTGGGAAAACTGGTTAGCCATGTGTAGAAAGCTGAAACTGGATCCCTTCCTTACACTTTATACAAAAATTAATTCAAGATGGATTAAAGACTTAAATGTTAGACCTGAAACCATCAAAACCCTAGAAGAAAACCTAGGCAATACCGTTCAGGACATAGGCATGGGCAAGGACTTCATGTCTAAAACACCAAAAGCAATGGCAACAAAAGCCAAAATTGACAAATGGGATCTAATTAAACTAAAGAGCTTCTGCACAGCAAAAAAACTACCATCAGAGTGAACAGGCAACCTACAGAATGGGAGAAAATTTTTGCAATCTACTCATCTGACAAAGGGCTAATATCCAGAATCTACAATGAACTCAAACAAATTTACAAGAGAAAAAAAAAACCCATCAACAATTGGGTGAAAGGATATGAACAGACACTTCTCAAAAGAAGACATTTATGCAGCCAAAAGACACATGAAAAAATGCTCATCATCACTGGCCATCAGAGAAATGCAAATCAAAACCACAATGAGATACCATCTCACACCAGTTAGAATGGCAATCATTAAAAAGTCAGGAAACAACAGATGCTGGAGAGGACGTGGAGAAATAGGAACACTTTTACACTGTTGATGGGACTGTAAACTAGTTCAACCATGGTGGAAGTCAGTGTGGCGATTCCTCAGGGATCTAGAACTAGAAATACCATTTGACCTAGCCATCCCATTACTGGGTATATACCCAAAGGATTACAAATCATGCTGCTATAAAGACACATGCACAGGTATGTTTATTGCAGCACTATTCACAATAGCAAAGACTTGGAACCAAGCCAAATGTCCAACAATGATAGACTGGATTAAGAAAATGTGGCACATATACACCATGGAATACTATGCAGCCATAAAAAAGGATGAGTTCATGTCCTTTGTAGGGACATGGATGAAGCTAGAAACCATCATTCTCGGCAAACTATCACAAGGACAAAAAACCAAACACCGCATGTTCTCACTCATAGGTGGGAATTGAACAATGAGAACACATGGACACTGGAAGAGGAACATCACACACCGGGGCCTGTTGTGGGGTGGGGGGAGGGGGGAGGGATAGCATTAGGAGATATACCTAATGTTAAATGACAAGTTAATGGGTGCAGCACACCAGCATGGCACATGTATACATATGTAACAAACCTGCACATTGTGCACATGTACCCTAAAACTTAAAGTATAATTAAAAAAAAAAATCTCTTCCAATTCTCTCCCATTCATCCAACTCCATAGTCCCTGTTCCAGGAACCATGGGCAAAACTGCCTTACTGTACTAAAAAGTGATAACAAACTCTGAGTCCTAACTTTTACTCCCCCACTTCATAACAAATGCTTTAAAGAACTTAAGCAGAATGTCTGCTTTCACTTTGTCACATTGTTACCCTGGTTCTTCCAAGCACTCAGCTTTCCCACCGAGCTTCTTTTAGACATCTTCGGGTATCCTTTGATGATGCATCTTCTGCTTTCACATGCTCTGGCGTTCCTTCACCGGGGTCTTTGTGGCCCCACAATTTCCTCCCACAACACCATTACACAGAGTGGGTATTTGATAAATATTAGTTAAATGATTAAACAGATAAGAATGAAAATAAAGTTAGGGTTTTACAGGAATATAACAAGATTTTACATTCAGATGAGCACGCTCCCCTTCAAAGTAGCGACTTTGGCACATTACATTTTTCATTCCAGTGGTGCTGCTTTCATTTGAAAATATATTCCCTCTCCTATTTCTGCTTATTAAAATATTGCCCTTTCTTTAAGTAAAATTGTTTTTCTTAAATAAATTATTGACTTTCTTTCCCTCAATGAGCCAACAATAAATTTAACATGTCTTAACATTTTATTCATTTTTCAATATCCCAGGTAGTGTCCAATTTATCTTCTTTTCCTCTAACAAATATAAGAAGTTTATATAACAGGCACAGAGTAAAAATAAAAATTCAGATTCTATGCAAAGCTTGAGAGACTTTGGCTCAAAAAACCATCATATTTCCAGATGTATCACTAAAAGTAATTTTCATTTATTGGACACTGATGGTTGACATTAAGCTCTTGAAATATCATTAAAATATTTATGCTCTAACCAGTTTGCACAGTCAAATGACTTTTAAAAAATCATTTACAGCTAAGCTGCTGTTATGGAATTTATTATAAGAACTCAATTTTCTCTACCAGTTTTCCTACAAGGAAACGGTAATCCTGGCTACCAGTAGAGACCCCTTAGTTGCTTTGAGACATCAATCAGTTTTATGTCTCAAGGCAACTAAGGGGCGTAAGTGTCTTGTTTGTGTCACGGAGCACTTTTGCGTAAACACATAGACCATCCTACATGGGACTGACACTATAATTCTTCAGATAAATAAGCTTTTGTCCTAATGACCATCTGACAATAAAAATATTGGGGGCTAAGGAGAGGAAGTTAAGGGAGATGGGCAGATATATATAAGCTAAATAGGATATTGTAAAGAAAGTCTAAAAGTTTTATTACCTTCATTTTTTCTAGTTTCTATCACTCCACTTGAGAGCAAGCATAGTTTGAATTTTTCCCTGTGATCTTATTTCTGTACTCAGGGCCAGGAAAGGTGAAATGGGTAAGATTTTAAGACACTGCGTTTCCACCATCCCATCAACTTTTTCCCTTACCCCCATTGCTGATGCCTATAATTCCACCATCAGAGCAAGTTTCCTTAGTCAGATGGCAAAGAGGGTTTATTTTGAATTGAGTACTAATCTGAAATGTGGTAATGGCTGCCTGGAACACAATGCTAATAGGGATCATGATGCCAATTTGATGGATCAGTTAACCCACTTTTATTTTAATTTTAGGCATGTACAGATTGAGGTAGTTGGGACATCCAGATAAGATTACCCAGTGGGTAGTTGAATGTGCAGGTCCGAAGTCCAATAGAGACAATAGAGATAGACATTTTGAGACTTAAGTATAAAGTTGAACCTCTCACTACTCTCCACTTGTGTCCATAATAGACAGGGTGATCCACTCATGCACTTGTTTCTTCTGAGCTCAGCTTGTTTCTTTGTACACTGCTGCTCAAAGCCACCACCAACAGACAGTTGGAACCAGATATGAAAAACAATCTTCATTACAAGTTGTATTAGGTTGGTGCAAAAGTAACTGCAGTTTAGAATTACTCCATGTTTAGCACTCTGTGGGCTAGTACAACAGGATAGTAGTCAAGGAAGTGTTTATGATAGTAAGATCATTATTCAAGTGACTGACCATGTTATCTAAATTGGATAAAAAAAAAAGAAAATAACAGGAATATACTTTAAAATAATTTTTTCCTCATGAGTCACAAGAATCACTATGCCCAGGTACTGTATTTTCTCACCTGGTTTCCTTAGCTCTTGTGAGTGTATTTTCATGCATAGATACTTTTTCAAATTGATGTTCCTGCAGGGAGATGGACCTGGAGAATGCTATTATGCCATCTTCCTGAGGTCCCTCCCAGTCCCAAGAATTGAAACCAATAGAATTCCCATGTCTTGTGCTAACCAATTCTGGGACCAGGAATACTTTTCTCTCCCTATGTTAAATATGATTGAGACCAAGCAAAAATTAGCCTAACTCTTTGCTTCATAAATACCTGTTCCTGTCCACCTATTTAAACTGTTTTCATTTTGAGAATAACTTCTCAGGGAGTGAGTACTTCAAGATCCTCACCTCACTGGGCCTTCCAATCTAAAAGTATCATGTTATAAACTGCCCGTTCGAACCAGTCCATTTCACAGGGTTTTCAGAATGCAGGAACTATCTAGTTTGTCTTTGTGAGCCTAAGCTGAAACTGGAAAAGAAACCTGGAGTATAAGGATAATCTTTCAATCACTTAGCAAATGCCACTTTTGTTAAGTATCCCTCATAATCTCATACAGATACATGAACACACCTCCTACAGTGAATTCCTTTATTGTCTTTGCCACTCTCAGCAAGGAATTGCACGTGTGTGCATGAGTATGTGGCGGAAGTGGTAGCCTCCCACAAATTTCAAGTCCTTTTTCCTGTAATTAAAATACAGATACCATTGGGTGGGTAAAGTTCTGAGTGAATTGCTTAACAAGCATGAGCCAGATTTCGACTATTGTGTTGTGAGTAAGCCCACTCTCTACTGGGAAGTACTTGGGGGCTAAAGTGCTTGCCTGTATTTCTTCTGCAGATGTCACACCTTGTCACCAGCCACCCCCACCGTGAGGAGAACACCCTGCAGGCATCTGTTCCCTTGAGTAAATGCCACCCTCCAAAGGGTTTTATTCTTTCTACAGGATAAAACATGCTTTCTTTGCACAAAGTCCATTCCTGATTCCATAAGGGGCGCACATGCCAAAAAAAAATTCTTCTCAGAACTAAATAAGTGATCTAAAATGCAGAGGATACAAAGTTTTGTGTTTTTCCCACTGGCTGCATCTTATCAAAGGAAAGATTCTTATTGCTGAATTATGAACAACTGATGGTGTGCATTAATTAAGTTATTGGAGTGAAAAGAAAAAAAGGGAAAACTAACAAGTATTTTGGTTGTCAGACACAGGAGCCTTTCCATGCAACAGAGTAGAAAAAGCCTGGTAAGATGTATTTTGTTGGATTTCTTCAGTCTTTGCCTGGGGCAGTGCAACCCCTGGCTTTGAACAAGGTCAGGTGCATTGTGCATGCCCACGATTTAAAGAGCATTGAAAGATTCCTGCAGGGGGTGTAACCCCAGTAACAAATGGCTCTGTGGAGGAGAAGGGACCCCACACAGACTGCCTCTTTATCTCCCAAAGGTAGGGGCCCTGCAGGCTCTTAACTAGTGGGGGTGGGTTAACACCTGCTCCCAGAAAAAATGTACTCAGGCTCTCTGGTCACAGGTAGCTGACTTCCTGATAGGCAAGGCTGGAGGCCCCTTTCATGGGGAATTTTTCTGTCTCCGTATAAATGCAAAATGGATTGTAAATAACTGTACAATGTTTTCCAAGTTGAAGGTCAATAGGCACTAACTCTCAAAGCATGTAGCAAGGAAATCCCCCCCGAAAGTGTCAAATATGTGTACACATTTCTATGTTGTATATAGTTGTCCATTTTTTTATTTCAACATTACCTTTGGATATATAAATATTTTTATTAAGCGTCATAGTGCACTTGATTAAGAAAATTTGGGATACCTGGAGTAAATCAATCAGATAATTGATATTTATATTGAAGCTTACTGTGTGTGGCTACCAGAAAATATGTCATTTAGGGAACACTTTAATGATAAGTCATGGTCCCTGATTTTAAGCGGTTGGCAGATTATTTGGAGAATGGTGCATGCACACACATAACATTTCTAGCAAATCAACAAGAACCAACTTGTACAACATACCACAAATATTAATAGAAGATATCGATGCTCAGGCTCTGTCAAGTGGAGGAATAAATAGGAGTTAATCAGAGGTGTCTTCCACAAGGATTTCTTATGTTGTTGTAGAGGATGTGGATCTCACTCCAGAGACTTGTGCTTGAAAGAAATGTCATTTATTTACCATTTTCAAATGAATTAATTCAGACTTTTATAATGATCAAAATGCAGTGAATTCACCTTCTGTGAACAAAAAGCAATGACAGATGAAATATTTTTTAAAAAGAAAAAAAAAGCGGGAAGATCTAACTAGGCTCTGGTACAAGATAAACATCTCCGTGGACCAGAAACAAAAGAAAACCATAAATCGTGGGTTGTCTGAGCTCTGGAAGTAGACACTAGTGACTGAGGGTTTGGTCCCTATGGGAAAAGGAGTTTTAAATGTGAGTGAGACCTGGAGCAGAGCCAGGCTTCCTATGTGATGCCAGAGGCAAACAACGCTCGCTGCTCTATTATGACTATGGCTTCAGATGAAGCTGCAAACCTGAAGAGACAAAGGGCGAAGACGAAGTGTGACTCCCAGGAACCGAGCCAGCACCATGCAGACTCGGTAATGGATCTGCTATACTCCACAATGTCCCCTAGGGGCAGTACATCCCAAGCTGGATTGTAAACCTGATTCTGGTTTAGGAGTGAAAGGGCTGGGCTAGGTAAAGAAAACCACTAAATTCTTAGGGAGGGAAAAGTTTGAAGGGGATGCTCAAAATGAGCCTGCAAACCAAAGTTCAAAAACACATGAAGAAGTCTAATTTCTCAAAGGACAGCCAAGGAACAGAAGACTTGGTAGTATAATTCAGAAACAGTAATTCACCCGAATAAAAATTATTTTAGAGAATAGCCTGAAAATAGGTCAGAATAAATTTGTTGATGTGGTTCAAAGACATAATAAAGCATTTATACATTAAATAAATAAATTATGGAACATAAATAGGCAGAAATGAAATGAAGCAAATTAAATCACATCATCAGCTCCCACATTGTTGGAAGAGCTGGGAACCAGCCTATGTAATAATCAGACTCCTTCCCCTACCTCGGAAGGGATGATAAGACTATGAGGCTTATCTAATATTATAAGATGAATGAAAGATCCCTATGGTTAGTCCATCCTGGCCATTGTTACTATCCTCATGTCTAGGCTCTTACAGTCTTCCATGATGACTGAACTGCTTGAGTTACAGGTGGACAGAGGTTATATGAAGCTGAGACCCCCTCCTGTTCAGAGCTGAGACTGCCTACCTTGCATCTCTTCAGAAGTCATGTCACTGAACAGAATGCCACCAAGAAGGAGGACACTTTCTCTCTTAGAACATTCTATTACTATTGTGTTTAAATATACAGATTCTCAGGCTGGGCTTGGTAGCTTAATGCCTGTAAATTCAGCACTTTGTGAGACCAGCATGGGAAGATTCCTTGAGCCGAGATATTTGAGACTAGCTTGGGCAACATGGAGAGATCCCATCTCTACAAAAAAAAAAAAAATTAACCAAGAGAGGTGGCCAGTACCTGTGGTCCCAGCTACTTGGGGAGACTGAGGCAGGAGGATTGCTTGAGCCCAGGAGGTTGAGGCTGTGGTAAGCCATGTTTGTGCCACTGCACTCCAGCCTGGGCCTCAGAGTGAGACCCTGTCTCCAATATATATGTTATATATATCAGATACGTATCCATATACATATATAACATATATATAATTGTGTGTGTGTGTGTGTGTGAAGGGGAGAGAGAGAGAAAGGTTCTCCGGCCCTACTCAGAAATTTTGATTTCCTAGATCTGGGGCAGGGCTTAGAAATTAGCATTTCTTACCAACTCCCTTATGATTCTTGTGCAGCAGGCCCATACTTTGGAAAACACTAATATCGTTTACAATCCTCATTTTTCAAGTGATAAAATCAGGCAGAACCAGAGAGAACAATACTTGCCCAGGTCACACAGCTAATTGTTGTTATAATAAAGCCCAACCCTTTTTTTCTGCTTGTTTTGGGTTTAATTCTCTCCTGTTTGTCTGGTTTCTTGGGTGGAAACTGAAGTCATTGATTTGAGACCTTTCTTCTAATATAGGGGATGAGTGCTGTAAACTTCCTCCTATGCACTGCTTTATTGGAATCCCACAAATACTCATATCTTACATTTTCATTTTCTTTCACTTCAAAATACTTTTTAATTCCCATTTCAAATTCTGTTTTGATCCATAGATAATGTATAGGTGTGTCACTTATTTTTCAAATACTTGGAAATTACCCTCCCTGGACCACACTTCGAAACTGTTTCTAGGCAATAAGTTGGGGGCACTTACAGGGCTCACCTCATTTGTTTCCTCTCTCTCAGATATCACTGGCCTTCATTGCCTGATGTCCAATGTCCTGAAAATGTTTGCTTCATATATTTTGTTCAAGTTTTTAGTTGTTTCAGGTGGGAAGGTAAATCTGCTCCTTGTTATTCCATCTTAAGCAGGAGGCCACTCCAGCACCTACCTCACCCCACAACACAGCTAGAGGGTCAAAGCCGGGCCATGCCACAGCTCTGTGTCCATACACGATCCTCTCAGGGCAGCGTGGTGGCCCCTCCCTGCTCAACCTCATTATCCTAATTTCAAGCTTCCTTCAGCCGCAGGGAAACCTGTCCTGCCTGCAAAGAGGATGGAGCTCCTTGAAGAAGGAACTGTGTTTTCTCCAGCAGCTCGCCAATGCCCAGTATACACTAGGGGCTCAGTTATTGTTTGTCTTGTTTTCTTGTTGACTCTACTCTAACTTAGGACATGTCACTTTCCCCTGCTGACCTCCATATTCAGATCTGTGAATAAGAGTAAGTGGGTAACGTACCTTCTACCTTTAACTATAGAGCAAACCCTAAAACTAGAACCAGAAGCTGAGGACTTGTGAATGGGGCATTTTCCCTGGCATGATGGATAGGACCTACAGATGTGGCTATTAGGATGTTAGCTTGCCACTTGAATATTTCTGCAGAATTTTACCCTAGTTTTCAAATCAGACTCAAGAATGACCTTTAGTGTTGGTGGTTTTTTTGTTTTTTGTTTGTTTGTTTGCTTTTTCTGTGAGTGTGTGTATTTTGAGACTTTGACACAATAGCTTCTGGAAATCTTTTTCACGGAGAGTATGTGGGCTTCTTTGGCCAAATTGGGTGGATGAAGGCTCCCATGTGCTTGGCGGCTGCTATGTGAGCTGCAGCATGCCCCATGCATCCTGCTCTTCTACAGAGGTTTTTTCAGACATTACCCTGTGTCTGGCCATGTCATTTGTCAGAGGTGTAAAACCAACAACCAAAAGCCTGAAGCTGCTGGGATGAGCACCTGCTGCAGAATCCTGGCCCCTCACAGAAACATTAAGAAGGTGCTCCCGCCCTCCGCCACTGCGACTGCCAGGATCCTACTCCCTGGAACACCATAGTCTGTGTAGGCAGCAGACCTGGTGAGAGCTGCCATGATGGTGAGGGCTGAGAGCCAGATGGTTGGGTTAGAAAGGCAGCAGCCTGGCCTCCTGAGAGCAGAGAGACTCGGCCTCCATCTCCCACTGGGAGCTGCCATCTTGTCGCAGCTTTCCTCAGGAGCACTAGGAACGCTTTCCCAGGACCCCCTTTCTCAGCTTCCCTTAGCAGGACTCCCAGTGGGCTGCGGCGGCCGGGGACTTGGAGCAGGGAGCGGAGGGGCAGCCAATGGACCTGAGGTGGGCTGACGGCCAAGGAGCCTCCTCAGGGCCTGTCCCTGCCTGGCTCTGGGCCTGCGCTGCCTCCACAGCCTCCGGGAGTCCCCCTGTTGGAGACTTTAAACAGATCTGAATTGCCCCATAGCTTCCGGAATACAATGACATTTGCATGTCTTAATTTTTCTAAATAAAAGAAATCTGCTTCTGACACCCCTTTACCAAGGTTGATGGGAAGGTTGGCTATCAGGGCTTAGTTGACACTCTTGGATCTTACAAGAACCTCAATCTTACATTGCCAAGAAAAATGGAAGATAACTCAGTTGAAGTGGAGCTATTTTCTCTTATGCCTCAGGCCTTTAAGGGTATACAAACAACTAGCATCGCATACAGTCCCTCCAACACTCTTCCACACTCCCACTAAGCTCAGCTAAGGGAATCTTTGCTGGGACCTCCAAAGCTATGCTGCTTGGTTCCCAGTTTCACAGAGTCATTTCTATCTGAGATTCTACCATCTCTAGAATATTGTAGTGCAGTGACCTCATCGCTTTGCCCAGTTGCAAGAAAACTACCATACTCCAGGGTCAGACACTGTAACATAATAAAATATAATATATTTGGTCTCTGTCCCTGGTTCCTGCCATAGAGCTCCTAACACCCTTGTAATTTCCTAAGTGCTAGGAGTATTAGAAACATCTTTTGTATAATGTGGTCTTTGATCCTGGTTCTTGACACAGAATGGCCTAAATCCCTTAGAATTTCCTGAGGGGGATAAAATCATCTTGTGTTCTAATGAGGCAACTTTGGATAGGCTTCTGGCTAGGCTAGCTTCAGAATGGGAGCTGGTAGCCCCCATGGCCATGGTTAGAGCTTGGAACTTTCAGTCCTACTCCCCATTCTTCAGAAAGGGAAAAGGGGCTAGAGATTGAGGTAATGGTCAGTTATACCTCCCTAAAATTCCCTAAAGTATGGCGTTGAGAGAGCTTCCAGGTTGGTGAACACGGCCATGTGCAGGAAGGGTGATGCATCCCAATTTCACAGGACAGAGCTCCTGGGCTTGGGACCCTTCCAGATCTCACTCTGTGTATCTCTTCATCTGGCTGTTCACTTGTATCCTTGGTTATATTCTTTATAATAAATCAGTAAATGCAAGTAAATATTTCCCTGAATTTGAAGCCATTACAGCAAAGGATCAAACCTGAAGAGGCTGTCATAAAAACTCTCTGTTTGTAGTCAAGTTGGACAGAAGCATGGGTAACCTGGGACTCACTACTTGTAATTCGCATCCAAGCTGGGGGACAGTCTTGTGGAACTGACCACTTAACCTGAGGGGTCTGCACTAACTCCAGGTAGTTTAGTGTCATAATTAAATTGTAGGGCACAATTGGTGCCTGGAGAGTTGGAGTACTGGTTGGTGTGGGAATGTCCTGTCCCCACATTTGGTATCAGAAGTGTTGTGAAAGTAGATAAAAACAGTTTGTTTTTCCTATTTAGCCCCTTTCCTCTTCCACCTAAACAGCACCAAGTCCCCATCTTGTTCTCTTTTCAGACAATGCAGCCCATTTTCTCAATGGACCAAAAGCAGTGTTTTTTATAGTGTGGTCTAAAGAACACTGGTGGTCCCTGGCAGCTCATCGAATAAGCTGCATGTGTTTTAACAGTTTCAGATAAATAAAAGCATGTAAGCAACTTTGTTTCCAACCAGTTCACAAATTGGAAATGTAAGATTAATTATGACTTTTACAGAAAACCCATTGGATTCTTTGTAATAAACCCAAGCTTACCAGGAAGCCTCTGCTGGAATAGATGCCCACAGGAATAAGATGAGATAGTGTAAGAAAGGACTAGTATAAGAGATAAGCCCTTGGTGTTTTGTAGGTAGCATTAGGCATTAACCAATGTGACCTCTGCAGAAGAGCAAGAGAGGTCTCCTCACACACTGTCACTCATCTTGTCAGCTCCTTCAGCTTCCTCAATAAAAAGAGTGCAAAGCAGCTGAAGCAGGATCTTCATAACAAACAAGAAAATGCTAACACACCTCAGGGTTTAGAGTGCGTGACATGAAGACCCCACCACTGTGCCACATAAAATAGTAACAGGATTGATGGTAAAGGAAATCATGTAATGGAATCTACTCTATTTAAAAGCCCCGTCATTAGTCTCCATGAACATTGTTAGACATTTTAGGAAAAGCTAGAAAACATATTTAGGAGAGAATGAATTTAGTCAGTGGGATAAAAGCTACCAGGTAAAAGCTTAAATTAGCACTCCCTTCCCCATGGTAACTCTTCCCCATAACCCTCAAATTCAGCCTAACACATCACAGCTCTATTGGTATATGCCTTTTCTTCCCTGACACTAGAGTAACTAATAGGATCTGATATCAACAATCATGAAGTAGTCCCAGAACAATGCAATACAACCAAGAACAAGATTTTTTAAATGCTGCCTAAGAGCTGCCTCCTCCGTAGTTACCTAACAAAGCTGTGCCCTAATCATCTCTCTGCAACTGCTTCTTCGTTTCTAATCTATACTATGCAATTAACACCTCATTCTACTCCACTTTGTTCTCTGGACTTGACTCTTTAGCACTCTGTTTTGTCAATATAAAATATAGTTAATTATCACATTGTCTTCTCACTAATTGCTATTTCAGATTATTTTGTCTCCCCAACTAAATTTTAAACTTCTTGTGAACAAAGAGTATTGAAACTATTTGGCATGCTATAATGACTAACATAGGCATAAATACCTGATTAAAT